>NC_000010.11:56961277-57112792 GCF_000001405.40 Homo sapiens | reverse complement strand
TAAGCCATTGACAAAACCTAACAAAGCATTTCAAAAAAGCTGCAGCAGACCCAAAGTCCTGAGGCAAACATCATTAAGAATGCAAAATATTCTAAACTATAAAGAAATTAAACGCATCATTGTAAAAGAAATCCCTCAAAATAAGTAAAATTTTTCTCAGGAATTTGAGGTTAGTTTAAGATTTTGAAATCAATTAAATATTTTAGATAAATAGAAAAATGATGAAAATTAAATAACCATCTCAATAGATATATAAAATAAATTTGAAAAGAAAAACAGCAATTATTCATTAAGAAGAATCTCAGAAAACATGAAATACAAGGGAAGAACCTCAGTCAGATAAGAGGCATCTAGGAAAATGCTGTAACTAATCATGTTTAATGGTGAAATATTAATCCCTTTCCCTAACATTGTGAACAATGCAAAAATGTTTGGTATTCTGATCTTCATTTAAATTTCACTGGAGAACTTTGCTTGGGTAATAGGGCAAGAAAAAAATAATAAATGACATAAATATTAAAAAGCAAAAATTAACTGTCTCTATTCTTAAATGACATGATTATTCGTGAAAAAATTTCAATGAATCTAAAAAAGAAACATAGAACTATTAATTGAATTCAGCAAGGTCAAAAAACACAAGGTCAATATACAAAAATTATTTTTTTCTGTGTAATGGCAACCAACAATTGAAATGGAAAAATTTTTAAACTCCACTTGAAAAAACAAAACAACATAAAGCTGAAATGCTGCAAGTGTGGGAATACATCAGAAAATTCAAAAGAGACTTAGAAAGTCAAAAGTCTGCAGGTATGTTATGAGCATGTTTTTGTGTGTGTGTTAACCTTTTCCTTAAGTAATGCTGATTACTGTTGGGTTCTGTTTAAAGGTAATCCACATTTTGGTTTTTCCATTTTCATCAGGGTTATCTAGAGTTCCACTCAAAGACCACACATCAGCTGAATCATAGTAACCCACCCAGTTTTTATCACAATTTTATAAATCTGAAAAAAATCTCAAAGAAATCAGAATAAAAAGTCTTCCGTTTCTGTTCTAAGAAATCTTTGAGTGCCCTGGAGCAAGTGGAGCTACTCATCCTTTACGTTCTTTATAAAGGTAACAATCTCTAGTCATTTCCAAGTTGGAAGCATGTCAGAGCCAAGACTAGCTAAGGAATTTAGTCAGAAGATTGGCTCCAAAATCCAAGGTCTTTCCAATAAGTTAATAGTTATTTAACAGTAAATTTCCCTGGTACTCATTTGATGAGGTTGTGCTAAATAAATTGGATTCTATTCAAATGTGTGAGAAGAGAATGGTATTTTGTCTGATTTGCAATTCATCTGATCAATCATCTGAGTAAACAGCAAACTGATTAATACCTCTGAACAAGATAAATGAGTTTTACCTTCTTCCTATAATTTTCTATTTTATATTAAAAAGGACAATATGTAAGAAAATAATAAAAAGATATAAGGTAATTTTTCTCCCTCCAACTTTTAAAGAAATATAACTATGAAGTAATTATATAACTATATACTTACATATATATTTACATATTATATTATATTTGACTTTCAAGAAGTCACTGCTGTCCCCTTAATAATAGTAAAATATTATTTAAACAGTTGATCCCAATGCAAAAGGAAATGAGTGTCAGCATCTATTTTATAACTACTAATTTAAAATAGAAGTGGTAGGTGAGAGCTCTGATTATTTTGTTTATTAAACAAAAGAGCACTGCCCACCATTGGCTGGGTACATACAAGAAGGGAAGAACATTGATTAATTACAATACTAAATAAATATTTCTCTGAAAATATTTTATAAAGAGAGATAAAAAGAGAAAGATAGTTTATAACCCTAAATAAACTTAGGCACATTAGTTTGGGTAAAAACAAGTAAAATTATTTTAGAATCTGGTATTAGTTTTCTATTCTTGTGTTATAAATTACCATAAATTTAGCACTTTAAAACAACACTCAGTTATTGTCTCTCAATAATTGTTTCTTTTTTATTTTAATTCTTGTGGGTATACAGTATGTGCACATGAAATGTTTTCATATAGGTATGCAAAGGATAATGGATGCAATCATATAATGCATGCAATTCCATCATGGAGAATGGGGTGTCCAACCTCTCAAGAGTTTACCCTTTGTATTACAAACAATCCAATTATACTCTTTTAGTTATTTTTAAATGCAGAGTTAAATTATTATTGACTATAATCACTCTCTTTCTATTTTCTTTTGTACCTATTAACCATTCCCACTCTTCCCTCCAGACCCCACTCCCTTTCCCAGCCTCTGGTAACCATCCTTCTATTCTCTATCTCCATGAGTTCAATTATTTTAATTTTTTGTTACCGCAAATAAGTGAGAACATGTAGTGTTTGTCTTTTTGTGCCTGGCCTGTTTCACTTAACATGATGATCTCCAGTTCCATTCATGTTGTTGCGAATGACAGGATCTCATTCTGTTTTATGGCTGAAAAATATTCCACTGTGAATATGTACCATATTTTCTTTATCCATTCATCTGCTGATGGACACTTAGGTTGTTTCCAAATCTTGGCTATTGTGAACAGTGCTGCAGCAACAAAGATAGTGCAGATATCTGTTTGATGTACGGTGTTCCCTTCTTTTGGATATATACTCAGCACTGGGATTGCTGGATCATACGGTAGCTCTATTTTTAATTTTTTGAGGGATCTCCAAACTCTTCTTCATAGTGGCTGTGCTAACTTACATTCAACCAACAGTGTACAAAGTATCCCTTTTCTCCACATCTTTGTCAATATTTGTTATTGTCTATTTTTTGGATATAAGCCATTTTAACTGGGACGAGATGATCATTCTGGTTTTGATTTGCATTTTTCTGATGATCAACGATGTTGAGCACCTTTTCCTATGTCAATTTGCTATTTGTATGTATTCTTTTGAGAAATGTTGATTCTGATTTTTTGCCCATTTGTTAATCAGATTATTAGATTTTTTCCCATACAGTTGTTTGAACTCGTTATGTTTTCTAGTTATTCATCCCTCATTATATGGATAGTTTGCATATATTCTCTTCCATTCTGTGGGTTGTTGCTTCACTTTCCTGATTGTATCATTTGCTGTATAGAAAATTTATAACTTGATATGGTCCTATTTATCCATTTTTGCTTTGCTTGCTTGTGCTTGTTACTACTCAAGATATTTTTGCCTAGACCAATATCCTGAACAGTTTCCCCAATATTTTTGTAGTTGTTTTATAGTTTGATTTTTGATTTTATAGTTGCAATTTTAATTGATTTTTGTATATGGAGAGAGATAGGGGTTTAGTTTCATTCTTTTGCACATGGATATTCAATTTTCCCAGCAGCATTTATTAAGAAGACTGTCTTTTCCCCAGTGTATGTACTTGACAGCTTTGTTGAAAATGAGTTCACTCTAGGTGTGTGGATTTGTTTCTGGGTTCTCTATCCCGTTCCATTGGTCTATGTGTCTGTTTTTATGCCAGCACCATGTTGTTTTGATTACTACACCTCACCTCTGTAGTATAATTTGAAGTCAGGTAATGTAATTCCCCCTTTCAATAATAATAAAATAATCACAAAGGTGAAGGAGGAGCCAAGGCATGTCTTACATAGTGGTAGGCAAGAGAGCATTTGCAGGGCAACTGACCTTTACAAAACCATTGGATCTCATGAGATTTATTCACTATCACAAGAACAGCATGGGAAAATCCATCCCCATGGTTCAATTACCTCCCACTGGGTTCCTTTGATGACACATGGGGATTATGGGAGCCACAATTCAAGATGAGATTTGGGTAGGGACACAGCCAAACCATGTCAGGAACTCAGAACAGTTTAGCCCATGGTGGTGAGGTTTGTGGGAATTCAAGTTCAGACCACTGGGATCAGTGGTCTTCCTCTGGTCAGTGCTGGTTTAAATCCTCTCTCCATGGGTGGGCATCAATTGAGTTTGGTTCAGTTTTCTTTTCTGTGATAACAGGACAACACTGAGTTTAGTGCCTCACAATTGTGCTCTCTCTCCTCTAGTACACAGAAATGCTCTCCATACCTTGCCACTGCTGCTGGGAAGGAACAGGGGAGGAGTGACATTGAGATTCAAGACTATTTTTCCTACCTCTTCAGTGCCTCTTTCAGCCATATGAAGTTAAAACCAGGTAATGTGAGTGCTGATCTGATTTCTGATTCATTTGAAGGTGCTTTTTCTATGTGTAGATAGTTGTTAAATTGATATCTTTGGGGGGTGACAAGCAGTAAAGCCTTCTATTCTGCCATCTGGCTCTACTCCTGTCTCTCAATAATTGCTTATGGATTAGGAGCTGAGGCACAGCTTTGGTGGATCATTTCCTCAAAATCTTAAACAGTTATAATTAAGCTGTTGGTGAGAATTGTAGGGTCATGTAAGGCTCAGCATCCTCTCCCACACTCATAGGGGGTCCTATTAGTAGAATTCAGCTTCTTGCAGCTGTAGGACTGAGACCCTCAGTCTCCAGAGGCTGCCCCTCTGCACAGGCAGTTCACAACATGGCTGTTTGCTTTCATCCTTGAACCCTGCAGGAAAGTAATCTTTCAGTCTCTTTTAAGGGACTCCCCAGATTAGGTCAAACCAATGCAAAATAATCTGTGGTTGAATAACTAAAAGCCAACTAATATGGACCTTTATTGAATCTCCAAAATTTCTTCACCTTTGCAATGTAACTTAATCACAAGAGAGAAACACATCATTTTCACAGGTCTCACCCGCACTTAATTATGGGAGGGGATTATATATAAGGTGTATGCCATGGGTTATTTTGGGACCAGCTTAGAATTCTGTGCACAGACTGTTTTGCCATATACCAAAAGATTAGCCCAGAGTCATTTAAATTTTTTGGGGGGTGGATAGGGGGAATATCGGTGATGGAAAGAACTCACATGTAATAAAACAAATTGCTTTTATCTGATATTCTGGTCTTCAGGGCAGATTCTCTGTTCAGATGTTATGACAGCATTGATCTGGCTTTGACCTGTTCTAATTTCCTTTTATCACTGCCTTTAGTTTCTCTTTTTAAAAATGTATTTGCTTTTCATTTTTACCTTTAAAAATTGACATAAAATTGTATGTGACAAATGCATACAATTTTATGTCAATTTTTAAAAGTATGTCTAAGAGAAATCTAACTCCATGTTTATTGCAGCACTATTCACAATAGTCAAGATATGGAATAAACATGAGTCTACCAAAGGACAAATGGATAAAGAAACTGTGACATATATACACAATAGAGTTTCATTATAACCTCTCTCTCTTCCTTTTTTTTTTTTTTTGACAGGTCTCATTCTGTCATTGAGGCTGAAGTGCAGTAGCACAATCTCAGCTCACTGCAGCCTCTACCTTCAAGGTTCAAGCAATTCTTCCACCTCAGCTTCCTGAGTAGCTGGGACTACAGGTGTGCACCACCAGGCCTGGATAATATTCACATTTTTTTTTTAGAGACAGATGACATGGTTTGGATTTGTATCCCCATGAAAATCTCATGTTGAATTATAATCCCCAGTGTTGTAGGTAGAAACTGGTGGGAGGTAATTTGATTATGGGGGTGGATCCTTCATGAATGGGTCAGCACCATGCCCTTGGTGCTATTCTAGTGATAGTGTTCTCATGAGATCCGGTTGTTTAAAACTGTGTAGCACCTCCCCCCACTTCTTCATGCTTCTAACAGTGAGATGCACCTGCTCCCACTTTGCCTTCTGCTACGAGTAAAACTCCCTGAGGTCTCCCCAGAAGCAGAAGCTGCTATGGCTTCCTGTACAGCCTGTGGAATCATGAGCCAGTTGAACATCTTTTCTTTATAAATTACCCAGTCTCAGGTATTTCTTTATAGCAGTGTGAGAACGGACTAATAAATTGGGGTGTCAGCATTTTGCCCAGGTTGGTCTTGAACTCCTGAGCTCAAGAAATTTTCCCTCCTCAGCTTCCCAAAGTGCTGGAATTATAGGCATCTCCAGCCGTAACCTCTCTTGATTTTCCTCTTTTATGTCTGCCTCTTGCCTCTAGCAACCTTTCTCAGCCAAATCATTTACTCTTCTCTTACAGCGCTAAGGAGACATCATGTGACAGAACTGTGGTAGATAGTGTTTCTGGCCAATTAGACAAAACAATTCCCAAACCTGTGATTTCTTTACTTGTTTCCAGGGTAAGGGGTGGGAAAACACGTATTTATCTTCCCAGTTGCTTAGGCAGGTAGGACTAGCCATGTGATACAATTCTATTTAAGGACACTTGAAAGGAAGTTGGCTGAAAGGCTTTTGGAAAAGAATACCCTCTCTCTCTGATAAGCAGAAAAGTTTTCCCACCCTTTAAATTCCACTTCTACAGCCAGGCTTCTGGTTTTCTTCCTCTGATTGCAGTTCTGATACTGTAAATCTCTGTAAACAATTTGGGACCCTGGGGAGAAAAGTATGAAGGCACTTAGGGAACAACCATAACAGAGCACAAGGATGGAAAGGGACCAGGTCCTTCATGATACTGGTAGACAGCCAGACTCAAGCCAAATGCTTACACAGTTCTATTACTTGTAACATCTAGCCTTTATGGGGAATGGGTTTAGTTTCATCCAACAGAGAAATGAGCACCTAACATGGGGCTTTTAATCTTTCAATTTTAGGACATTCCTCACTCTTTGCACAGAAAATTACCCAAGAAACCTGAGTTTGTTGGTGTGAGATGCCAATGCAGTTTCACATTTTACCAGGAACTACTCTTTGCTTCCATCCTGCAAGCTCAGGCCCCCTAGTCTGGGCCACAAAACAGTTTCATATTATAGAAGTTTTGTCTCTGGGACATGTTATTTTTCAATCTTAACTGTCTCACCAGACTTGTCAGTATATGTCTAAGTGTTTAGCATAGAGTTTTAAGTTCTTTCTCTTGAAATCATATGTCCCAAGTGAATGGTGCCATGTGATTATATGCCTATTGATTTTCCTGATGATGTTTGATAATGAATGAGGCTATTTTCTGTTTAGAATATAATTTTTTGGCAATATTAACAAATGGCATATGTCATATTTTCAAAGTAATTGCCCCACAAAGATAAGCATTTATAATATTTTACTCACTATTTTCCTTGGCTGACATCTAATTGACTAGGAAAAAAAACATTTTTTGCCTTCATTTACAAGTAGATTGTTTTCTAAAACGAGTGCTTGCATTGCCAGAGCCTTAAATTAAATAGGGTAATATAGTCCAAACATTTAAAAGATACCCACCAAACATGTAGTTAGTGGTCAACATGATCTTTTTAACATTGTCTGATCAAAACAGAAATAAGTAGTCCAAATTACTAAGAAAAAATGAGAGAATTGTCTTATAATTTTATTATATGAAAAAATCGATTAAGGTATCCGAAACCTAGCAATCCCAATAATAGAAAAGTAGCATCAGGAGAGGGCATTATATTTTTCAATTTTGTGGAATTTAGGATATGTAATTGCCGTATATTTCTTTGAAAGCTGCATTTACAAATTACATTCCTCCGGTTTTCTTCCCAAATAATTTTTGACATTCTCTTTTGGTCTATGTGGAAAGATTGGTCTTGAACTATCACCTTTTTGAGGAGAGAATTCTTTGAAGTATTTCAGACTATCCTAAGAATGCATAGAGCAGTCTTTGGTACTGAAGAAAATTACATGTCAAAACTTTTCAGAGACCATTATGAAAAGCAACTGAGGAAGGTGGCATATAACACTTAGGCATTATAAAATGTAATAATTCTAGAAAACTTAATTTACATATTTGAACAATGAACCTAAAGTTATCAGTATTTTTTTTAAATACGTGAGGAAATCCCTGCTTCCTGTATAGGCACTAAGACATAAAACCATATGAAAATAGCAAAAACATTCTTTAGAAATTAATTATAAAAAATAACCAGAAGAGGTATGGCTTATATTTGCTTATTTTAAAGCAAAACTTATAAGTTTACTGAATGCTAAATATGTAGGCAGTTTTGTTTAAAGCAGACAAGGTAGAAAGGAAACCAACACATTTGGGCAGTAACCTAGAGCTGTAGTTAAACCTGTGGATTTCAGACTAAAAGAAGGCTGTTTTTGAATCCTATCATTAGCTGTAGAGCCCTGGGCAAATTTCTAAACTTCTATAAATTTCAGTTGCCTTATCTGAGATACATAGAAATGATAATAGTGTTTCTTTCATAATGTCATTACAACGATTGAGCTTTAAGGCTTAGTATAGTTTCTGGTAAGTGCATATAATTCTGAGAGCACTTCTTTATGCCTGTATTATCTCATTTAAACTGCACAGTAACCTTGTGAAAAACCTTGTATTTAGAATACATTACCTGATGAAGAAAATATGTTTTCCCAATAGAGTCATAAATATGCTTCAGACAGTTTGTCATTAAGAAAATGCTCTAAATTTACTTTCCTTTATGATGTTGTGTCATTGGATTTCATCATTCATAAAATCTTTTTAGTGGACAACAAAAAATGTTTATTTAGTGTATGAAAGAAAAATAAAACTCCAGGACCCCAAATTCACTAAGCCAAAGGGAAAGTTAGGTTTTGGAACTGAGTCACACACAAAAAAATTACCTTCCTTTCGTTTTCAAACAGATAACTGTAATTTCACATGCTTACTTCATCTTATGTAACATGTAGATTTAATGGGCATAAGTTGTAGGGACATGGATGAAATTGGAAACCATCATTCTCAGTAAACTATCGCAAGAACAAAAAACCAAACACCGCATATTCTCACTCATAGGTGGGAATTGAACAATGAGATCACATGGACACAGGAAGGGGAATATCACACTCTGGGGACTGTGGTGGGGTCGGGGGACGGGGGAGGGATAGCATTGGGAGATATACCTAATGCTAGATGACACATTAGTGGGTGCAGCGCACCAGCATGGCACATGTATACATATGTAACTAACCTGCACAATGTGCACATGTACCCTAAAACTTAGAGTATAATAAAAAAAAAAAAGATGAATGCATAATTGACCATTCTCTTCACTCCTTTCTTTCTACATGTAAAATGTAGATTCACTGAGTGCTAATCAGAGTCTCACAAGAATGTAACCACTTACCTCATTGCCTACCCAGTCTCCCTTTATTTTTTTCTTCTCTCCTTCCCATCCTGCTCACTCTTTCCCTTTTAAATATTAAAGTTCTCAAAATCCTATCTGAAAAAAGCATAGGGTGCAGATCCTACTGGGACTTGTGCTTCTTTTTCCCAGGTGTCTCCTCAACTTCGTCAAATTAAACCTTTAAATTCAGATATACCTTAGTCAACTTTTGGTTTACATTTTTGTAGTCACAGAGGGATTCTTTAAATGGGGTTTGGCTCTTGGCCTGCAGCAACCCTCCTATTGGGGCTGGTACCAGCAGAAGCTCTTAATTACTCTGACTGATTGGATGACTTGCTGAGGACTAGTAGCATCCCCTTCCAGAGATCCTTAATCTCTGTATTTTGGCTGAGATCTTAGGTTTATTCTGCCACAGAACTCATTTTCAGGGAGTTTCCTGCTTCTGCGAAGGGGAGAGCAAATCGTCAACATAGGCTCTATTCTCTGGGTAAGGAGCTTGTTTGGGGTTTTGTTTTGTGATTTGGTAGCTTAAGATAAAGGTTTATTGTTAGTTTTCTACAACTTTTCCTCACACTCCAAGATCTCAACTATATGTAAATTGTGCTATCACTTTTTTTCTTTTCTTTTTTTTTGTTTGTTTGTTCCAGTTCATCTTCCATTATATTTGACCAATTTTGGTTCATCTTCTATTAGATTTGACTGAAACCCCTGCAGCTGCAAAAAGTCTAATTCCAGGTTGTTATACATTCTCCTTTTTTAAGTTCAGACACAACTGACAGGAATTAACATTGAAATAGAGATTATAAGACTGACAAAATTGAGTCTTCGTGGAAATAAGATACCAGATTTTAACCTCACTCTGTTATAGCATTGCATGACAGATAGCAGACCCTGAGGGAAATACAAATATTTTACCCCAAAATATATACTTTAACATATTCTGAAATGGCTCTGCAAAGTTTTCTCTTGTGGGAGAAATTTGCATCTGTAGAGAATTTCCATTTGCATCTGTAGAGAATTTCCATTAATTCAGCAAGACCTTACATTTCTAGGTCTTTCCCAGATCTAGGAGAGACTAAATGAGAGTCTGACACTTTTAAGATCTAAAAAGAGACATTTACCGTCTATTCTCTATGAAGGCTACTTCCTGGAAACTTTATTTACATAACAAAAACCTTGGCCTCCACAATCTCCCTTATCTTAGCTCAGGCATTTCTTTCTACTGACTTCAAGTCTTTAGACAAAGCTTATCTCTTTCAACCAATTGCCACTCAGAAAATCTTTGAATCCACCTATGACCTGTAAGCACTAACCTCCCTGCACCACCCCCTTCACCACTGCTTCAAGGTATCCTGCCTCTTTAGGCTGAACCAATGAACACCTTGCATGTATAGATTTATGATTTTGAAATATCCCTATTTCAGGATATTACATTCTAGGAAGGAAAGCAGATTAAATGCAAATAAATGAATAAACAAAATTATTTTATGTTCATTTGCTTATAAATTTGCTGTATAGTACATATTACACAAATACATATGTTTGATAATATGTTATAAGAATTTGTATTTGATAGAGGAAGACAAAGGCAGCAACAAAGACAGAGGAAAATTCTATATAAGAAAATAAATGAGGATAGAGTCACAGAAATTCAACTTCACACAGGCTGTCAGAAAATCCCTTTCTTAAGGTGTGACAATTAATACCTGATTTCAAGACTTCTAAAGATACAGTAATCAAGATGTGTGGTACTGAATAACTGTAGGCAAAGAAATTAATTGAACAGAGACAAACCAACACATGTATGGACAATTCAATTTCAACGAAGTGAAAAGGCAATTTAGTGGAGAAAAGATAACCTTTCTATGTAGTCATTATAAATTCCATTGAATGGATGAAGAAACTGAAATTTGTCCATATTGTCATAGTTGGTAAGTGATGTTGTCAGACCTGTTTAACATTTATTTCTTTATACCATTCCAGGGGAGAAGAGGAGAGTAAAAGTGAAGAAGAAAGAGGCAAAACAAGTGACTAGACCACACGCTGAACAAGTTGTAGCTCTCATTTACTTTTCAGAGAATGTAAAATGTTACAACTGCTTTGGATAACAGTTTGGCAATTTCTTTAAAAGTTAAGCATATATATATATATATATATATATATATAATCATATAATCTAGCCATTTCACACATCAGAATTTACCCTCATCCCCAAATAAAAGCACAAAGATGTGAATGCCCATAGCAGCTGCATGTGTAATAACTCAAAACTATAAAAAACTCAAACACTCATCAACAGTGAATAATTAAACAAATTGTTTACATTGCAAAAACATTATCAGTTGAAAGGAATGAGCTACTGGTAGCAGCAACAAGGTACACAAATCTAGAAATAATTATGCTGAGGAAGAGAAGCCAGAAAAATATAATATATATTATATTATCTCATATATATTAAAGAATAGAGAATGCAAACTAATCTATAGTGACAGAAAACAAATCAGTGGCAATCTGGGAATGAGGGTAAGGGGTAAGAGGAAGGGATTAAAATGGGGCATGAGTAAAATTTTGGAAGTGATAAGTATATTTATTATCTTGACTGGTTATGGTTTTACAGATACATACTTAACGGTGAAAACTGGCAGATTGTACATTTTAATATGCATAGTTTATGAAATGTCAATTATATCTCAATAAATATTAAGATTATATAAGAATAATCTAGAGAAATAAAACATTTTTAAAAAAATTATAGTAAGAGTTGTTCTCTAACCATTGTAGTTAATCAGTTTTACTAAAGAATAACCACATATAAAACCTTGTTCCCTTATTTACAGAAAGTTTCTCCCGTACAGTTTGTACACTGTCTATTCATGTGAGCTAATGCTTTAAAAATTAACATATTAATTTTCCTATATTATATGAACCTAGTGTTTTATCCCAATAAATTAATCATCACATTTTCTTTATAGGTGTTTTTTTGTGGAAAAAATTTAATCAACCCATATCATTTTTGTGTGCGATCTTTCCTTAGTGAACATTAAATCTAATCATTTGTTATTTGCATTTGAAGTAATTATTTTAACATGGGCTCTTTCCTAAGCACTTTGAAAATTAGTCCTCTAAAGCCTTTTGTTGTATATAACTTTCTCTCTTGTGTTTTGTATAATTATTATTATATAGTAGTATAATTTAAAGGGGAAATGTGCAATAAACCCATATGCTTTATTATTAAAAGTAGGTACTGTAAGTTTTACTCCTATGCCAATTGGATGGAAGATCAAGAGTTGTGATGATCGGGAGGCTGAGGCAGGAGAATGGCATGAACCAGGGGGGCAGAGCTTGCGGTGAGCCGAGATCGCACCACTGCACTCCAGCCTGGGTGACAGAGCGAGACTGTGTCTCAAAAAATTAAAAAATAATAATAAAATAAAATAATAAAAAAAGAGTTGTGATGATCATTTTCAGTTTTTAGTTTAACTGAAGATAACAGAAACAGTCCAGAATGGTCAAACTTTGACATTTATTAAAACATTTAGAGACACTAAAACATACAAACAATTTTTGGTGGTTAAGACCATGTGCTCTGGAATAAGAAATTGGTATTTAAATTCTTTCTATTTACTGTTACATTTAAGGCTTTGTTTAAATGTTTATGTGTAAAAAGATCAAAAGCACTTTCATATATTTCTTTAAATAATGTATGCCATTCAATTTTTGCCGAAAGAGATAATAAATCAGAGCAGACAATGAAGAAAAACTATTTTTTTTTCTTTTCTTCCTTAGCAGCATTTTGGAGAAAAAAATGAAGACAAAAATTTTATGGTAATATACAACTTAAGTGTAACATATATGAAATAATACTATTTCCTCTAAAAACATTTTTATTGAAGTAATTCTCTTATGTTTAAGTTTAAGGAATAGATTTCTGACATTTCTGCAGATGTTTAATGATGCAAAAATATGTTTTTGAGCAGTTGCAGAAAAGTAACTAAAAAAATGGCTACATATATAATAATGAAATGATTTTAACTTTTTGTCTATTCTGATTAGTTAGCAGGTAGGTTCATTATTTAACAATCTAGGTGGTAAATATTTGGTATTCTTAGCTTCTCTTATCAGGAAAAAATGATTTACAACAAATAATCTGAATAACAACATATTTTAATTCCAAGTGCCTTGATTTATATTTTAATTAATTCTGAATCTCTGCGTTTAGAGAATGAACAATTCTCATTTTATAACTTCTTTGACGAAAGAGAGAAGTCATATACATTTTGTTTTCCATTTTCTATAGCAAAACGAAGACATTTAAAAAAGAAAACAAATTTTAAAAGTCAACAACCCCTTACTAGCTGCTTGAGCATGAGTAAAATTCTTAACACCAAAACTCATTTTTAATAGCAGTAATTACAGGTAATAAAGCATATTCCTCTAAGGTTTGTTGAATGAAAAAGTTGAAATAAGGCCGTAAAGTACTTAGAACACCTTACAGAAAAAAGTTAGCAACAAATAATCGTTATTATTTTTATTATATTATATATTGTCCACTTAATTGAAGATTTTCAGGAGAATTTCTACCAATTTTCTTAATATAGCAATTGTTCTCCTAAGCTATCTATTTTTATCGTAATGCCTGTGAATTATGTAAAAATGCCATTTGCATCACTACTAGAAATCTTGGAGCCAGGTTGATGTCCCCAGCCCTGAATCATATTTGTATACATCGAGATAGGCTAGTTTATTTTACAATAGCAAGAACATCTATATTGCAGTGGCTTAGAGACAGTAGTTTATTTCTTGCTCCTACAAACACTGCTACAGACCCTCTACAGAAACTGTAAGTCATGAGTTAGTTGTTCCAACATTTCAAGCTACTTTGATGTTATGGTTTCATTTTGGACTGGAGCTGACCTTGTGCTAACTGGCAGATCTTTTGTTGGCATCTCTTCCCAACTTCACGCTCAGGGACATAATTTTGGTATACCACTAGAAGTCATGAAATCAGCAAATGCTATTAAGACTTTCTTTTTGCCTTGTTTCAGAAGTAGTTGTTAAATATTTATCAGGAAACTTCATCAATAAACCCTTTCATGAGCTCCCATGCAAAGCAAGAAGATGGAGATTTATACATCTGCTTTTAAATCCTTCCAAGTCGAATAGAAATGATACAAAGTAAGTAGATAGCATTATGGAGGTACTGTTTGAAATAAGGTGAATAAAGGCCTTTCTGTAAACTGTATACTGTTTTTAAGTGAGGAAGCAAGCCATGTGGCTGACAAGGAAAGAGAAAATGCAAAGGCTTGGGGTATGTTTGAGAAATGAAAGGAGGCCACTGTGGTTAGAGTGGAAAGAACGACTTGGAGGGTGGTAAGAAGTGAACACAGAGAGCAGCCAAGAGCCAGGGCATGTAGGGCCCTGTTAGCCAAACTAAGAAATTTGGAATTTAAGTGAGATAATAATTTATTTGACAGTATTGAGAAGGGGAATGACATTACATGAGTTAAAATTTTAACAGAGTCACTTATAACTGTCCTTTTAGAGAATAACACTTTATTTCTGAATGGAGCAATGGGAGGACAGTAAGTGTAATTTACTGATCAAAAAGCACAAGAGTAAGAGCAAGGTTAGGAGGAAAGAATTGCAGGGAATTCACAAGCTCAGGTCTTTGTAACTGACTAGGATTTGAGTATTGTACAGAAATAAAAGCCAGATATATTTATGTATTATACTCATATATTTTGGTCTACTTTAAATTGAGGAATGTGCTGTGATGAGAACAAAAACTGGGCATTTGTACAAGGGGTAAGATTTGTATGCAGTATATTTAAGACAATGACCTTCACGGAAAAAGAAAAAGATTGCAACCAATAAGCTTGAAAACTCAGTGACTCTGAGGCCATTCAACCAGGAAAATAGACTATTTCAGCTATGTCCCTGAATAAGTATGCAGAATAAGTCACTCTGTTAAAGAATGTATCCATGCCTGAAGTTCGGTTTTTGCTCTTACTAGTATGATTTTCCTGAACCTTCTTTTCCTTTTATTAAAAAAAATTCTAGTTTTCATTTATCTGAATTTTATTTCTGAAATTCTTATGAAATTTTATCTAAAAACCATTTTATCAATTCAGCGTATTAATGGAAAAAAAGTCTAGTTTCTCCTTTTGCCAAAACTATATTATTTGTGTTTTCCTTCTCCTCCAGAATCATTAAATGCTTTTTGATGCTTTGGTAATCAAGTTACTTGATTGTCATAAATTGTCTACTATTACCCCAGACACTTCTGGCAATATTCCCATGTTTTGTTTTTATTTGTGATATTTAGATATGTTTGTCAGTTTGAATATTATGTTCTATAGTCAGACACTTTAATTGAATATAATTTTGAGTGATGTTTTCAGTTTCAAACTTTTCCTTCCCACATTCACACAATTTCTCCAATTTAGAAAGAAAATATAGATAATGACTGACTATGATTTTTAAAACCCGAAGTTTCAATTCTCTTTGAGGTGAAGGATGCTAAAAAAAAACTCCTTCACTAGGATACAACCCAGCCTCTCTTCTCTGTAAATGGAGTTAGGAATCTAACATGGCTGTCTCTGTAAGGAGGCCATGGCCCTAGTTGTCATTTTTCATAGTGGGGAAACTTGTGAGTGTGAGGATCATTTGATTTTGTTGGAGGCTCATGATAATTTTTTAGTTTTGGCCATCATACTTGATATTTGATTTTAAGATTTTTTTCTCTATGATTATTTTGAAATATAAGTTAAAATGGATAATGGATATTGGATTTTTTTTATTTTTAAATGTGAAAATAATTACAGAGATAATAATATAAACAGACATTAATTAATTCTAAGTACTATATTATTCCTGAAACCAACCCTATGAAATAGTTACTATTTTTTTACCATATTATAGATGACATGATGTAAAATTAAATTTGCTATATTAGTAGATTACGGAGATAGTACATTGGAGGAGTCCTAATCTGAACTCAGAAAATTTGATGACAAAACTCATTTATTACCCATTAGCATGTACTTCCTTATACTACAAAGAGACATAAGACAGAAATAAAAAACCGATACACATGTCAGTGTTTGGTTGGTTCCATGTCTTGGATACTGTGAATAATGCTACAAGGAAAATAGAAGTACAGATATCTCACATCGCATCGTAATATTGTCACAGGATCCTTAGGGAGTTGCTTTTCCAGCTGTAAACTTCAATGGCCAGTGACACCTTTGTCCAAGTTTTGTTCCACTGACTAGGTCTGGCAGGCTGTGCTCAGCTAGCACTACCAGCCTGGACACCAAGCCTGCCAAGGGGAAGCCAGGTGCAGACAGGCAAGGAGTGCATGAGCAAGTGAGTGCAGGGTGTTGCTTCTGCTGCTGGCAGGGTGGGCAGACCTACATTCTAACAGAAGCGCTGTCCGTGCAAGCCTGTTGCTGAGTCTCATGCACCACAATCGGCTCCCACTGTGGGTGCCCATGTCTGGATGAGAGGCATGTGGTGGTGCCTGGAAGCTTGCAGATGCCAGAAACCACAGAGCATCAAAGAGGATGTCACAGATGTGGCTGGGGGAGTCCCTGTGTTTGGAATCCCCAAAGGGCCACAGCTCTTCTCTCCTTGTCACCCACAATGTGGCTAGTGTGGAGTGTGTTTCAGCCCTGTTTTTGTTACAGCTCTTTCAGTCTCATGATTTGGTGTGTCCCAAGTTCTTGTCCCTCGTCCAGGAAGAATGAGGTATGTGGACAACTGGAGGGTGAGCGAGGCAGAGAGGTGCCTTATTGAGTAACAGTACAGCTCTCAGGAGACCTGAAGTGTGTAGCTCTTTTCAGCAGGCAGGTTGTCCTGATGAGTGCAGCTCTCAGCAGTGAGGATGCCCAGAATGGGTAGCTCCTATCTGCAGGCAGGTCATCCCAATGAGTGTGCATCCCTCAGAGGAGAGGAGACCTGGAGTGGATAGCTACTATCTGCAGGCCAGTCATCCTGGGTCTGTGCTGCTGTCAGCTGAGAGGAGACTCAGAGTGGTAGCTCCTATCCACAGGCAGTTAGACCTGATGACTTCCAAAGTCTGTCTGAGTCCTGTGTTTTCATGGGATGAGAAGGAAGGAGGTGCATATTGATTGGTTCATGGGTGGCCATGTATGGGCCCAGAAAAAGCACCATAAGTTCTCACTCCTGTCAGGGAACTCCACCCAGAACTGACAGCCGGCCCTCTGGCTTCAGGTCATCCCTGGCTTGAAGGTAGGGCTTCACCAGGGACCCACTCCTTTCTACCCCAGAGACTGTCTGCCTCCTGCTGCCATCTATATGTCATCCACAACTCCCAGATGTTCATGCTGAGGAGTGCCTGCAGGCCCTTGCTGAGCTGACCTCAGCCTACCCACCTCGGCTTCCCTCCTGTGCTCGTCGGCGCCCAAAGTCCGAAGGAGACTGAGGCAGCAGGGGGCTTGAGTGTCAGCATGGCACGGAGTGCACACACACCTGGCCTAGTCATGACAATGCCTAGGCTCCACAATTTTGCTCTGAAATCCAAGCAGGCACCTGCAGCAGGGGGAGGCCAGGCAGCAGGAGGAGGCACTTCTGAGCCTGCAGGTTCAGGGGGGCCACCTAGGTCTGACTGGGTGGCTGCAGCTACGTCTGGGAGGGTGGGGTTCCTGCCCCCACAACTTGGAAGGGGGCAGGGCAACTGCTTGTTCCTGGCTCCTGCAGGCTCAATGGAGTGCACAGCCCCTGTCGTGTCTCCCCAACTGCAGCCAGTGTCTACTTAGTGGCCGCTCCAGACTGGCTGCTGCTGCCAGTGTATGCCCAACAGAGGCATTGCTAGGTCATATAGTAGTTCTGTTTCTCATTTCTCTCATTTTTTTAGAAATCTCCATACTGTTTCCTATAATGACTTTTGCAACATGAGGACTGTAGGTAATAAAATTGTACTGTATTTGGTATTTATACTAAATGAGTAGACTTTTAATAATCTGCTCTTGCCACACACAAAAAACATGAATAACTGTGTGGTATGATTAATATATTAATTTGCTACACTATAATAATCTTTTTACTATCTATATGTATCCCATAACATCATGTTTTCTACTTTAAATATGCAGTAAAATATTCTTAATGAAAATAGTGTAAGTGTCATCTTTTATGTTTTTGTAAGAACGCTTACAAAATAAAATAAAATTAACATGTGTTCCCACATTTCTTTATCCATAAAGTGACATCCTAGCACTTGGACAGCATAGTATATTTCCTGACATCAAAATCAACAGAATAGCTCAAACTAACTTTGAAGTAACTCTTCAGAGTCCTGAAAGGCTAGAAATGAGAGCACATGCTTGGTGCTATTGAGTCTTAAGTAGACTCTCAATAGCACCAAGAGCACATGCTTGGTGAGAGTCTACTTAAGACTCAATAGCACCAAGCATGTGCTCTCATTTCTCAATAGCACCAAGTAGGTACACTTATTTCTATGTCTTTGCTGATAGTAGAGTCCACTTGCTTCCCCTCAAAATCATGTTATCCTTTTAAACTCTAGCTATCTTTCTTTAGTTTGAGGAATAGAACAGCAGTCCCTGTTAGCCAGAATGGCTTGGTATCTATCAGTTAAACCTCGTTGCTAAGAGCTATACTTACAGCTAGGTCTTGGTGCTCTTTGAATATAAACATTTTCATTGAACACTAATTCAGTGTTCACAAAATAATAACTGTGTGACCATGACAGATTAAGAAAAAAACAAAAACACTCTGTAATAATGCCTGAACTCAGAGAAGCAAGAACATTGTTCAAAAAACAAGCAAAAACAAAAACAAAAACAAAAACAAAAATCCCTTTTTCCTATCCTAGCTAACATGAGTGACTGCAGCCCTGTTACCTATTGCAGCTTTAGCTTAGTTTCATTCTACCAACTATTTAGATAAGATGTAATCGGGAAACCAAATTATTCCCTTATCCTGATAGCATCGTATCGAAATCAAAGGGCTGCTTTTTTGAACCCTTCCTCAAATAATCTAACATAAGTTTAAATCCTATAAGTACTTTCAAGTATCTTCTCAATGACACCCCCCCTGACTTTCTATGTTGCGCATTCTTCCTCATTGTGAAGAGTCAATATGCTCAACTGTAATCTATTAGAGATATGTTACTAGTGAACTTTGATTTGAGGGTGTTAACTTTTAGAGTATGCTTGTAACCATACTATTTTACCTAGAGCAGTGTCTAGAATATTTATGTTTCCTAAAATCTAGACTCTCCATAAGGATATACAATCTTCCAGAATAAGCCAAACATATTCAAACATACCCATACATTAGGTCAATGCACACACCTTTTAATAATTTTCAGCCTCATTTAAACTCTTTACCTTCCTTCCCATTTAGCTAAAGCCTTCCACGATATATTAATGGGCCACTGACAGTGGCTTCCAATTAAGTCAAGTTCTAGTACACATTTCTACCTTGTTTTACAACTCCACTTATCTACTAGTAGATAATCTTCTCTAAGTTCCACACTCTCATATTTAATCATGAGACCCGAAGATGAACCAAGCTAAAAACCATATATTTTGGTAGTCTTTGGTAATTGTAATACATATTGACACAGAAAATAGTAGAATTTATCATTGAATAATAACTTTGCCTATTGTCTGTCAACTGAAAGAATATTTCTGCTGAAACCATACACTATTTTCCTAAATTCACTTTTTGGTTCTGTGTCACATGCATATTCTTAAATACATTCAGGTCTCAGTCGTATTGCAAAATAGTATAGTTCAGTTGCTGATGCAATATGCTTTCAAGTCAGACGGTTTTAAATCTTACATGACAATTTAGTAGCTGTATGACTCTAGGTAAGTCAGTAAACTTCTCAACAGGTGATAATAAAACTTCACTTGCCCGGGCGTGGTGGCTCACTCCTGTAATCCCAGCACTTTGGGAGGCCGACGTGGGCAGACCACGAGGTCAGGAGATCGAGACCATCCTGGCTAACACGGTGAAACCCCGTGTCTACTAAAAATACAAAAACAAAATTAGCCAGGCGTGATGGCGGGCGCCTGTCGTCCCAACTACTCGGGAGGCTGAGGCGGGAGAATGGGGTGAACCTGGCAGGCGGAGCTTGCAGTGAGCTGAGATGGCGCCACTGCACTCCAGCCTGGGCAACAGAGCGAGACTTTGTCTCAAAAATAAAACAAAACAAAAATAAAAAAAAAACAAAAAACTTCACTCATGGGGTAATTATAAAAAATAAATAATAATACATTTAAAATGTAGTACAATTACATAATAATCTCACCGAAATTCTGAAATCCAAAATATACAAAAAATAAAAATTTGGCAAAACTCATTTTGAGACAAAGTCGGCCTTGAAAAAACATAAAGTTATTCATAGTCTGTCTTTATGTATCCTAGTTTGCGTAAATGTTCACATATTTTACTAAAAACTATCAATAGATTTGATTACAGGATGTTGCCCCGATCCTGCCAGAAATTTTATGTAATACAGAATTTACATGGCATTGTCTTACTACATTCTCCAAATTTTTGAATTCTGAAACCCATCTGGTGCCTATTATTTGCTCTACTGGTGTTCTCTTCAATAAAAGAGGACAAAGAAGAGCAAATAAAGCAATAGAATACTTTGAGTTCAGCTCATGCACAGAGTCAGCAAAGTAAGTTTCTACAATTCTCATGAAATTGTCCTTTCCAAGCAGTGATGACAAGATATAGAAGGGGAAAGGCCATGTGGAGATATAGAACTATAAGATTTATAACTGACATGGAATTTGTAATTAACCTAGAATTGACCTGCATCAGTAGAGTAAGCAAGAGCCTAGCAATATCCTAAAGCTTCCTCAAGCAGTAAGTCTCATTTTATCATTTTATGTTTCTTAAATGCTGCCAAGATACCTGGGAGTGGAATAAGAGCCTTTGAGCTGGATTCTCTACTTTATTTGGTCAAGCCACAATGATGACCTTCAATCAACTTTCCTTTTGTTCATTTAATTCAAAATTTATGTTTTCTAGATTTTTTACACATAGTATTTCATTTTTATGTTCGTTTATGTATTCTTACAAAAAACAAATATTTGCTCTCATGAAATAATTTACTATTAAACATTAATTTATCCTTTTTATATAAAACAGAAAAATTAGCAATGTTAATCTCCATAAAAATCGTAAGACCCTATGAATGTTCTCACACTTAACAAATAGCTCTTTTTTAATATTTTAATAAAACTTGTTATTATTACTTATTGTTAGTGCCGATTATTCATATAATACTTGCATTCAGCTTTTATTTGAATTTATAAATAATAATACCGTCACCAAATTTAACCTTCATTTCTACATGACAAAAATCTCCTGCCAATTGTTGAACATCTGGGATAGATATATAGACATCCAGGAAATAACCTTTAGTTTCATTAAGGAAAGGAATTTTTTTACTTGAGAAGAAAAACATGTTACAGAATATTGAGCTGAAAAAGATTTAAAAATGAGAATACAATTTTATATTTTATATATTAAAATATGGACTAAAACTGTCTTTCCTCCCAAATGAAACAATTTCAAATCAAACTTCTAAATCTTGTATTGATTAAACAGCAAATATTCATATTGATAGCATATAACATATTTATTGTTAATGCTAAATTCTAACCAGGTTATAATGTTAGGAATTCTCAGACACATTAACAATTTACCTGCCACCTTGGCTGTCAACACTTTAGAGTTGTCACTAAAATGATGTCCACTTTATTTTACATATTTCTAAAAACTTGTTCTGAAAAAAACCATTAATTTTTACTTTATTTCAAAATATGCTATGGATAATTTCTGGTCCTGCAACTATTCTCAGGAGAATCAGAGAAAACCTATTTCAACAAATCTCAAGTTTTGATAATACTATGTGTGTAATTTAAAATATATAATTTTACTGTCTGTGAAATATTGCCTTTGAAAAGTTATTATGGTTACTTATTTCATGAAAAATTAAAAAATTAAAAATTAAAAAATTATATTGTATTTTCTGACATATCTGTGAGATGCTTACACTTAGGAACTTTTTTTCAGTGTTTGCAATGCAGTATGTACAGTAACTACTTGGAGTTGGCACAGACTTCTCAGGTTAAGGGCAGAGTTCCATCGGACTGCTTATCCTTACTTCAGACGATAGCTGCAAGCACCACTTTTGACCAACTTTTTAGAAATTTGGCAGTGCCCACTATCACCTCAGGTTTGATAACTTACTAGAACAGCTAACAGAACTCAGGAAATCACTGAATTTATGATTACAGTTTTGTTAAAAATAATCCACGTCAGAACAAGCCAAATAAAGGGACTCATAGGGTGAAGTCTTGCAAGATACCAAATGTGGAGTTTCTTGTCCTCAGGATGTGTCATCCTCCTGTAACATTCATGTGTATCAGGAAGCTCACTGGAGTCTTATTGTTCAAAGTTTTTATATACTTAGAGTTTCAGTACTTAGCCATGATTAATTAAATCACTGGCCACATGCTTGAACAAAATATCCCTCCTTTCTTTCTCAGAGGTAGGACTGATATCATCTGGCTCAAAAGCTCGAAAGTTCTAATCTCATCATTATTATTTCTGGTGTGACCCATCCTTAGTCATCTCATTACTTTAATCTCAGATTTGGTTTAAGGGGCCTATTATGAATAACACTCATATCATTAGAGAATCTTCAAAGATTTTGAAGTTACCTCCAGGGAGCCAGGGACGAAGTCAACTTATTTGATATTATACCAATGTGGAATCACACATGTAGCCAAATGTATGTGTGATTTCAACATTTTATGCTACATACTTGCAGTCACATATTCTAATTGAATATGTGATTTCTGCATGGTTTAAAATACTTTTACTGTCGTATTTTTACCCATCAGCCCTTCACTCCCTCAGCTACATGGTTACCAGTGTTACTTAACTAAATTTTGAATTTAAATAACAAAACTGAATGTCTGCCATGTAGCTAGAATCAAGGTATTCATAAAAGCCATCTAAGTTGGGTAAAGTTTGTTCTACTCTCTATACAACAAATATGCTTCTGGTATCTTTCATGGAATTTAAAGACTCTGAGTGGACTCCAAATAAAATAAGAATTCATAGCACTTTTCTGTAATAATTATATAATTTTACTAGTTACTGAAAAGGTACTAGGTATAGGGCTAAAAATATCACATATAGTATGTATATACGTAAACTTTAAAAAATCATCAGGTATATTTTTTCTTTTTATTTTGTTGTTGTAATATAAATTTACCACTGTCATTATTATTAAGCGTACAGCCCAGTTGTATTAAATACATTTGTAATATCCAATTACCATATATCTCCATAACTCTTTTGATCTTGTAAAGCTGAAACTCTATAGTCATTAAAAAAATAATTCCCAATGTCTCCCACTCCCCATGTCTTGGGAACAACTATTATATTTTTTGTATCTATAATTTAGACTATTATCATTACCTCAATGATATGGTTTGGATGAGTGTCTTCACCCAAATCTCATGTTGAAATGCAATCCCTAGTGTCAGAGTTGGGGCCTGGTGGGAAGTGATTGAATCATGGGGGCAGATTTCCTATGAATAATTTATCACCATCCCTTTGGTGCTGTCCTCGATATAGTGAGTGAATTCTCATGAGATCTTGTTGTTTAAAAGTGTGTGTTGTGGTAGCCTCCCTTCTTCTCTTGCTCGTGCTCTGGCCATACGACATGCCTGCTCCCCCTTTGCCTTCCACTGTGATTGTAAGTTTACTGAGGCCTCCTCAGAAATGCAGCAGATGCCAGCATCATGTTTTCCATATAGACTGCAGAACCACGAGCCAATTAAACTTCTTTCCTTTATAAATTACGCAGTCTCCAGTATTTCATTATAGCAATGCCAGAAATGACTAATATAGAAAATTGGTACCAAGGAGTGATGCACTGCTATAAAGACACCTGAAAATGTGGAAGCAGCTTTGGAATTAGGTAACAGGTAGAGTAGGTAAGTGTGCTGAGAGCTCAGAAGAAGACAGGAAGGTGAGGGAAAGTTAGGAACTTCTTACAGACTGGTTAAATGGTTAAATGGTTGGACCAAAATGCTGATAGTGATATGGACAATGAATTCTAGGCTGTTGAGGTCTCAGATGGAAATGAGGAACTTATTGGGACATGGAGTAAAGGTCACTTTTGCTATGTCTTAGCAAATAACTTAGCTGCATCTGTCGATGTCCTAGGGATCTGTGGAAGTTAGAACTTGAGAGTGATGACTTAGGGTATCTGGTGGAGGGAATTTCTAGGCAGCAAAGCCTTCAAGATGTGGCCTGGGTGATTCTAACAGCTTCAGCTGTTCTCCTAAGCCACTAGATTCTATCACTGGGAGACATACATCACTGTTAACGCTATTAGACAGGGCATGCTCTCACCTAATGGAAAAACAGTTTCTGCTACCTCATTTTACTTTCTAGTCAGTATTTGGATTTTTATTGAAGATTTTACCAGAGTACCTATGGTTTATTATTTAGTTAGAATGCTTACACTTTTTAGACTTGTCTGGTTCTGCAACAAGCCCTAACCAGGATAAAAATACAAGAGACTGTGACAGATGAGCTGAATGAATCTTAACTCTGTCTACAATTTTGGTGTTTTACAGAAAGACAATTTATCCCTAATTTCACACTCAGATTGGATTTAATCTTTTGCATTAGTGATTCTGATAGGAAGCTTGATCCCAGCACCATAATCAGAGCTCTGTTTCACTGTAGGTGATTTATGTAGATTTGTAAGAATACCCAGAGAGGAAAATCCCCGATGACCTTAGGGTGATTAACTGTTTTATCTTTGTAAATTTCCTGGACAATGTAATTGATGGTCCTAATACAGAGCAAATTTATTTTGTTCTAGCTCTACTGAAGACTTTAGTTACAAGTTTAGATGTCTTGTCAAATTAATTTATATAAAGATAGTGTTTGTTATCTTGATAGAGATGTCACGGAACCCAGGGGCAGGAAAAGCAACTGGATCTGAGAACCAGGAAACTTTCAGGGAAAATAAAAACTATTTCATCAATTTCTCATACATTAGTGCAGTATTATTTTTTTCTCATCCTGCTTTTTTTACCCCCTCATTCTCAATTCACATATTTTGCTAATAATGGACCAATAATGGTACCAGTCCAAATTTATGAATACAGATTAGTATTGCTTGCTTTGAGTCAGATATGCATTTTGGTCTAGTCAATGGTCATGAGGTTAAATTACACAGTATAGTCATACCTTTAAGAAGATACCTGTGAGTGAGACCTCTCCCTTCCAAATCGCCATTCGAATATTAATATAGTAAAATATTAGTGCCATTCAGATAGTATTAGGGAGGGTATGGAGTTTATTTCAGGACCAATTGGGAATATCAAGTAGTATAAAACCATTCAGATCTGGGAAAACCAACTTTATTTTAGTGTAAGACATCTGCCAATTTTATGTATTTTGTCATCCTTTTTAATACTGTCTTTGAATGATTTTTTTGGTATGAAAATAAATTTTTAAAGTGAAATAAAGTCACGACTCAAAAAGGTTGTATTTATTTACTTTTATCCTGATTCTATCTTATGCAATGTATGAAACATACTAATATAATAAATTATGTTGGAATATGATATATTAATAGAAATCTCTTAACTTCAGAGTTATAAGGTGAAGTCTAAATTTCTCAATAGCACAGAAGTCAAAATACTTGCTACTAAAATTTACTCAGAGGTAAATATATTTCCCAGTACAGATGGCCCACACAGCATGGTAATATTTCACTTTCCATATTACGAAAGCACATGTTAAATTTAACTGAATGCAAAAATGTATACACTCAACTATTTAAGTACAGGAAATGAAAATAATTTAAGATTTATTAACACACTGTTATAGTCTTCTTTTATATTACTGTACATGAATATTTATATATAGTCAAGGTCAAATAAGTTTGAATTTAATGTAAAACTAATAAGGCCAGATTATATTTCAGTATGAAACAATCTGGTATGTTCAAATACATAATCAGGAAAAAGGAATTCGAGAAAGCAGAAAAATTCGGGTAAAATATAAACCTGGTTACTTTGAGAACAACGTCACTGCTGTATTCTCTGCTGCTGTGGGGCATGTGGAACAAAAACAGAGAACAATCTAGAGGCAAAAATAATGGGTGCACTAGAGAGAAAATATCTTACAGTTCTTCCTAATGACCACAGAACACAGAGTAATCCCTTATAGATGAGAGTCATTAATGTGGTTTTGAGGCTTTGTCCTCTCCAAATCTCATGTTACCTCCTCATTTCTCTCTTACCCTAGCCTCTGACCACCACCATTGTATTCTCTACTTCTATGAATTTGACTGTTTTGTATTCCACATATAAGTAAGATCATGCAGTATCTTTCTTTCTGTGTCTGGTTTATGTCACTTAGCATGATATCATCCAGGTTCATCCATGTTGCCACAAATGACAGGAATTTCCTTGCAAATAACATTGCATTGTATGTATATCCCACATTTTCTTTATCCACTCATCCATTAATGGACATTTAGGTTGTTTCTGTATTTTTGTTATTGCAAGTAATGCAGCAAGGAACAAGAGGCAAATGCCTCTTCAAGATCCTGATTTCAATTCCTTTGGATATTTGCCCCAAACTGGGATTTCTGGATCATATGCTCTTATCATCTTCATTGACGTATCAAATATGATACATTTTTGCTGTTTCCTATTATGTTGAAGAAAATATTACATTTGTTTTTTATTTTGAGACAGAGTTTCACTCTTGTTGCTCAGGGTAGAGTGCAATGGTGCGATCTCGGCTCACTGCAACCTCCACCTCCCGAGTTCATGTGATTCTCCTGCTCCAGCCTCTGAGTAGTTCAGATTACAGGCGTGCACCACCATGCCTGGCTAATTTTTGTATTAGCAGAGACGGGGTTTCACCATGTTGGCCAGTGTGATCTCAAACTCCTGACTTCAGGTGATCTGCTCGCCTCAGTCTCCCAAAGTACTGGGATTACAGGTGTGAGCCACCGCACCTGGCTAGAAAATATTACATTCTTAATAAGTTGTGCAAATAGGTATTTGGGTAATCCTTGTTAGACAGAAAAAATGTAAAAAAATTATTTGAAATGTTGGAAAATTTGGAATTTTAGTCAGGTTATTTGACTAAATATCTGTTTATTTAAATACTATTTATCACTGTCCTGACCAGAAAAGCATTTATGACAAATGTAACCAATTATATTTGCTATATTTAAACTTAAAATAAATCACGAGCAATAATTTTTAAATATTTGGCTTAAATTTAATTTTACTTTTAAATTTAAAAAAATATGCTAAATATAGGAAAATATAAAACACAAATAGATAATGTTTAATAATCACTACAGCTCTATAATCCATAGTAGTAAAAATTGCTAGATATATCCCTGACATACATCTACCTTTCTTCTGAACTTATCAGTATTTTTTGTAGGAATGTGATAACCCAGAATTGTGAATACAATCCCTAGTTTCTGCTAGAGGTAATGTGATAACCAAAATAAGATTATATTTATAATGTTTTAGAATTGTAGTTGCAGATTTTGGGGCAGATACTTTTTAGTGATCTTAAAAGAAAAGGCAACCCTCCTTCTCCATTTTGTTAAACCATTGTATAGGATGTGAATATATTGGATTATCTCCTTCTCAGTATGTATAATGGCATTAACCGAAGTTTGGTGCAAGTGAAGTTGAGGGTTCCTGGCAACCCGGTGAAACAGAGTCTGCATAGCAGCAACAGACTATCTAGTTCCAGATAGTCTTTTTTTTTTTTAACTAGAAAAGGAAGTGAAATTTTGTTTTATGTAATGGAGACGTTGAATCTCCATTACATCTAGCTGAGGCTATAAAAGGAGAAATACTGAGTTTCATATCAGAAATGGGCTTATGTATGTAAAATAACATAAAATAAATAGTATTGGTTATGCAACTCAGTAGCGGGTCAAAAAGCCAATAATAGCTGTTTTACCATGGCAAAAATATAATAAACTGCAGAAGTATTACCTTGGAAAGCTGACTGCATACAAATCGGTATTTAAATTTGATAGAAGATTAGTGTTAGGAATGTTAGAATTAGAAAATATTTGATCTCAATGATACAGAAAATAGAACATATAAAACCTTGTTGGATGAAGAATAAAATTGAGAAAATGCTTGCAAAAAATAATCTTAAATAAGTATATTAGAAAACATACTATCTCTTCTAGTGTTCATGCCCCTATCTGATTTCCTTCCCCTGGCTCTGTTTTAACACTGTAAATGACTTCTAACTGACAGAAAGTGGTGTGAGTAATGCTGTGTGGCTTCTACGGCTAGGTTTCAAGAGGTCTTGAAGCTTCTGCCTGTACTCTGGAAATACTTACTCTGAGGAAAGCTAGTTACCCCGTAAGGGGTTTGACAACTCTGAGACCACCGTGATGTAAGATAGCCTTAGCTATTCATATGGAGAGGCTATGTGGAGAGAGAAAAAAGGGAGCTGGGTGCTGTGGCTCAGGCCTGTAATGCCAGCACTTTGGTAGGCCAAGGAGGGTGGATCATTTGAGGTAAGGAGTTCAAGACCAGCTTGGCCAACATAATGAAACCCTGTCTACTAAAAATACAAAAATTAGCTGGGTGTGTTGGCACATGCCCGTAGTCCCAGCTGCTCAGAGGCTGAGGCAGGAGAATTGCTTGCACCCAGGAGGCAGAGGTTGCAATAAACTGAGATTACGCCAATGCACTCCATCCTAGGCGACAGGGCCAGATTGTCTCAAAAAAAAAAAAAAAAAAAAAAAGAGAAAGAAAAAGATGCCCAGAGATCTCCCACCCCCAACTATATCAGTATCCTATCTGTGAGGAAATAAAATTCATTTTGGATAATCAACTCAGTTGAGTCTTCAAATGACTGTAACCCAGTCGCTATCTAACATGTAGTGCATGAGAGAGATTCTCAAAACAAAAAACAAACAACAAACAAACTGCGCAGCTGAGGTTAGTCAAATGCTATGAAGAATAATAAAATAGTTGTTTTAAATCACTAAGATTTGTGTTTATTTGATACACAACAATAGATAACTGGAACACTTAGCTTCTGTTCCTGGTGAAAAGAACATGCACTGATAAAATATTAATAATATACAAAGAACTTCTAAAAATTGAAGACAAGAGATAATGAGAACATATTTTTGAATAATTAAAAACTTAAATATACCTATTATTTGATTCAGAAGTTCCATTTCTGTGAACATTTGCTATGGAGAAAATTGATTACAGATAAGTGGGTAGATGGATGGATAGACAGATACAGATATCTATAACGAGATATAGAAACATATATGTATATAGACAAATGGAGAGAGAGAATGTTGATTGCCACATTGTGGTTGTGTCAAAAAAAAAAGAAAACAAAACCCCCTCCTAATCTAGAAATAGCCCCTTAAGAAAAACTAAAACTGATAAAAGAGAAATTTAAATATGTAACTCTCAATTTTGAGGGTTTCAGCAATTCTACTCTGCAACGGGGGAAGAGGAAGCAAATTGCAGAAAAATATGAATAGTTTATCCAAATGTGTAAAGTTAAAGCTTAATGTTATTCAGTAAAATGCACAGATTTTAAATGTAGACTGTGAATTTAGCAAATATATACCACTGGGCAATCTACGCTTAATCAGGATTTAAAATGGCTCTATTCAAAGTAAAAATTTTTCTCATATACCTTTCCTGATAATGCCCAACCCCAGAACCAACTACCATTATGATTTTTATTATGATAGATCATTTCGTCTGTTTTAGAATATCATAGGAATTGAAGTAGGAACTCGCTTGTCCTCAGTCATTTCTCCTTGGGTAGTTTTTTCTATCAGTAGTTTGTACCTTCACCTTGAGGAATGTTATTCCATTCCATGTTTGCTTTTTTTGTTTCTTTTGAGGGATATTTGGATTGTTCTCAGTTTTTGACTATTAAGTATTAAATGATTATAACATTCTTGTACAAGTCATTTTGGGGACAGATGCTTTCACTTTCATTCCTCTTTATTAAACATAAGAGCCATAGGATACTTACATCTTAATTTTTATAAGTGAATGACAACCAGTTTTCAAAATTATATTATACTGCCTCTGAGAATGTCTGAAAAACTTATTTACTATCCGTTACTAGAAGTTGGCATTGTTGGCTTTTGAAATGTTAGCCTTTCTAAAGATTTTGAACTACTAGTTTATTTTCATTTCAATTTGCATTACTTGATGACTAATTATGTCCCAAAATATATTTGATTATTGGAAATATTTGTATATATTCTATATTGTATTATCAGTTCAAGCATTTTTCTCTTTATATTGGGATATGTAAGCTCTCTATTGTCATTACACAAGTTCAACAATATAAATATTAGCATAGAAATCAAATTGAGCAGCAATTTTCAGGGAAGTTGAAGATACTTTACAAGTTTCTCCTAGATCTTCATCTTTACTATTAATTAAATATGCTGCAAGAAGGCTTACATTTTTATAATGAAGTGGACATAAATTTCAGAGTATTCTAGAAGATTAATTGAACTTAAGAAGCTGTGAGATACATTGGCAATTATAGACAAATAATGCAAAATTTCCCCACAGAACTTTGGCCATCAATTTACTTAGAGGTATACCTAAAAAGTGGAGACTTCAAATTATAGAAGTGTGAACAGCTTAACTGAAGGTCACCTTTGGAATAATGCTGGAAATCTTATTACTATAACATTTAATATGATCTATTGCTACTGGTATATGAGATTTTTTTTTGACAAAGTCTTGCTCTGTTGCCCACACTGGAGTGCAGTGGCGCAATCTCAGCTCACTGCAAGTTCCGCCTCTCAGGTCCGTCCCATTCTCCTTCCTCAGCCTCCCAAGTAGCTGGGACTACAGGTGCCTGCCACCACGCCTGGCTAATTTTGTGTATTTTTAGTAGAGACGGGGTTTCACTGTGTTAGCCAGGATGGTCTCGATCTCCTGACCTCGTGATCTGCCCACCTCGGCCTCCTGAAGTGCTGGGATTACAGGTGTAAGCCACCACACCCAGCCAAAATTAAATATCTTTAAACATAGTAGATTGACATTCCTATACAAATAAATATTAACTGTTCCTGCATGAGCCATAGTTCACAAATCAGAAAGCACACCTATCATTTAAACAAAAGCTAAAACAGATAATATATCACAATATATCACAATGTTTATGATGGCATAATGATTTTATTTTTGAGTTGGTTTATTAGTATGTTGATTACATAGTGATAATATTCACAGATGTTTTCTCAACTATTTACTGAAGAACATATTTATTGAAATACGCAAATGACATCTTGAAAAATTACCGTCACCTACTTTTTTTTTAACTGTAATGACTGTACAAATCATGTAGAATACAAGCCTTAATTTAAAATAAAAAAAAGTATTTGGTTTAGGAGAAAAAACCACTTATGATCTTGTTTTTACTTCACGTTGCCCATTATAACACATATTTCCCAATGAAGAATTGTCAAAATATATACAGTGTTCTGATTTCAAGCTTTCTTTCTATTTCATAAGTGGTTTCATTCTAAGAACGGAAGTGTACTAAGTGAAAAATGCTACAAATGGAATAAAAGCAGCAAAAGTTTATAACTTGATGAATTAATTATGCAGAAATTACCAATTTTAATGCTAACTGCAGGACTGATTTTTATTTTTTTTAAATAAGCAATATGAAAACAGAATTCTTACCTAAACTCAAAGCTGACAGTGCTAATAGAGTAAAAGAGGAAAAAAAAATGAAAAGGGCAAAAAAGCTTTTCTTCTACAAAGCTTCTGCACAGCAAAAGAAACAATTTAAAGAATGAAAAGGTAATCTACACAGTCTGAGAAAATATTTGCAAACCATGTATTTGATAAGGGATTAATATCCTAAATATGTAAGGAACTCAAATAACTTAACAGAAGAAAACAAGTCAATTAAAAATGGACAAAGGAAGTGAATACGTTTTTGCAAAACAAGACACTCAAATGTTCAAGAATTATAAAAAAATTTGCTCAACATCACTAATCGCCAGAGAAATACAAATTAAACCCACATGAGATACCTCCTCACACCTGGTAGCATGATTAATATTAAAGAGATAAGAGATAAATGTTCGTGAGTGTTTCTTTGAAACCAATGAGAACAAAGACACAACATACCAGAATCTCTGGGACACATTTAAAGCAGTGTGTAGAGGGAAATTTATAGCACTAAATGACCACAGAAGAAAGAAGGAAAGATCTAAAATTGACACCCTAACACTACAATTAAAAGAACTAGAGAAGAAAGAGCAAACAAATTCAAAAGCTAGCAGAAGACAGTAAATAACTAAGATCAGAGCAGAACTAAAGGAAATAGAGACATGAAAAAAACCTTCAAAAAATCAATGAAACCAGGAACTGGTTCTTTTAAAAGATCAACAAAATAGATACACCACTAGCCAGACTAATAAAGAAGAAAAGAGAGAAGAATCAAATAGACACAATAAAAAAATGATGAAGGGGATATCATCACTGATCCCACAGAAATACAAACTACCATCAGCGAATACTACAAACACCTCTATGCAAATGAACTAGAAATTCTAGGAGAAAATAATAAATTCCTGGACACACACATCCCCCCAAGACTAAACCAGGAAGAAGCCAAATCTCTGAATAGACCCATAACAAGTTTTGAAATTGAGGCAGTAATTAATAGCCTAGCAACCAAAAAAGTCCAGGACCAGATGTATTCACAGCTGAATTGTACCAGAGGTACAAAGAAGAGTTGATACCATTCCTTCTGAAATTATTCCAAACAATAGAAAAAGAGGGACTCCTCCCTAACTCATTTTATGAGGCCAGTATCATCCTAATACCAAAACGTGGCAGAGACACAATAAAAAAAGAAAATTGCAAGACAATATCCCTGATGAACATCAATGCAAAAATCCTCAATAAAATACTAGTAAACCTAATCCAGCAGCACATCAAAAAGTTATCCACCACAATCAAGTCGACTTCATCCCCGGGATGCAAGGTTGGTTAAACATACACAGATCAATAAATGTCATCCATCACATAAACAGAAACAATGACAAAAGCCACATGATTATCTCAATAGATGCAGGAAAAGCCTTTGATAAAATTCAACACCCCTTCATGCTAAAAACACTCTCAATAAACTAGGTATTGATGGAACATATCTCAAAATAATAAGAGCTATTTATGACAAAACCACAGCCAATATCACAATGAAAGGGCAAAAGAGGGAAGCATTCCTTTGAAAACTGGCACAAGACAAAGATGCCGTCTCTCACCACTCCTATTCAACATAGTTTTGGAAGTTCTGGCCAGGACAATCAGGCAAGAGAAAAAAATAAAATGTATTCAAATAGGAAGAGAAGAAGTCAAATTATCTTTGTTTGTAGATAACATGACGTATATTTAGAAAACCCCATCGTCTCAGCCTAAACTCTCCTTAAGCTGATAAGCAACTTCAGCAAAGTCTCAGGATACAAAATCAATGTGCAAAAATCACAAGAATTCCTATACACCAATGATAGAGAGCCAAATCATGAGTGAACTCCCATTCACAATTGCTACAAACAGAATAAAATACCTAGGAATACAACTTACAAGGAATGTGAAGTACCTCTTCAAGGACAACCACAAACCACTGCTCAAGGAATTAAGAGAGGACACAAACAAATGGAAAAACTTTCCATGCTCATGGATAGGAAGAATCAATATCGTGAAAATGGCCATAGTACCCAAAGTAACTTATAAATTCAATTCTATCCTCATCAAGCTACCATTGACTTTCTTCACATAATTAGAAAAAACTATTTTACATTTTCTATGGAACCAAAAAAGAGCGCTTATAGCCAAAACAATCCAAAGCAAAAAGAACAAAGCTGGAGGCATCATGCTACCTGACTTCAAACTATACTACAAGGCTGCATAAACCAAAACAGCATTGTACTGGTACCACAACAGATATATAGATGAATGGAACAGAACAGAGGCCTCAGAAATAATACCACACATCTACAACCATCTGATCTTTGTTTGACAAATCTCACAAAAACAAGAAATGGGGAAAGGATTCCCTATTTAATAAATGGTATTGGGAAAACTGGCTAGCCATAGGCAGAAAACTGAAACTGGACCCCTTCCTTACACATTATACAAAATTAACTCAAAATAGATTAAAGACTTAAACGTAAGACCTAAAACCATAAAATCCCTGGAAGAAAACCTAGTCAATACCATTCAGGACATAGGCATGGGCAAAGCCTTCACGACTAAAACACAAAAAGCAATGGCAACAAAAGCCAAAATTGACAAATGGGATCTAATTAAATTTAAGAGCTTCTGCACGGCAAAAGAAACTATCATTGGAGTGAACAGGCAACCTACAGAATGGGAGAAAATTGTTGCAATCTATCCATCTGACAAAGGGCTAATATCCAGAATCTACAAAGAACTTAAACAAATTTACAAGAAAAGAATAAACAACCCCATCAAAAAGTGGGCAAAGGATATGAAGAGACACTTCTCAAAAGAAGACATTTATGCAGCCAACAAACATATGAAAAAAAGCTCATCATCACTGGTCATTAGAGAAATGCAAATCAAACCCACAATGAGATGCCATCTCACGCCAGTTAGAATGGCGATCATTAAAAAGTCAGGAAACAACAGATGCTGGAGAGCATGTGGAGAAATAGGAATGCTTTTACACTGTTGGTGGGAGTGTAAATTAGTTCAACCATTTTGAAAGACAGTGTGGCAATTCCTCAAGGATCTAGAATCAGAAATACCATTTGACCCAGCAATTATCCCATTACTGGGTATTTACCCAAAGGATTATAAATCATTCTTCTATGAAAACACATGCACACGTATGTTTATTGCAGCACTGTTCACAATAGCAAAGACTTGGAACCAACCCAAATACCCATCAATGATAGACTGAATAAAGAAAATGTGGCACATATACACCATGGAACCCTATGCAGCCACAAAAAAGGATGAGTTCATGTCCTTTGCAGGGACATATATAAAGCTGGAAACCACCATTCTCAGCAAACTAAGACAAGAACAGAAAATTAAACACCGCATGTTCTCACTCATAAGTGGGAGTTGAACAATGAGACCACATGAACACAGGGAGGAGAACGTCACACACCAGGGCCTGTTAGCGGTACGGGCCTAGGGGAGGGATAGCATTAGGAGAAATACCAAATGTAGATGACGGGTTGATGTGTGCAGCAAACCACCATGTCACATGTATACCTATGTAACAAACCTGCACGTTCTGCACATGTATCCCAGAATTTAAAGTATAATAAAAAAATAGCAAAAAAGGAAAAATTTGTGTGATCTCAAAAACTCCTTTGTAATCATTTCCCGAAATTTAAGTGTTAAGATAACATTGTGCAATTCTTAGAGCTTGCAAATCCTGTTAAAACCCAATTTCCTGTCTCAAGGTGGTTCAATATTGTTGCTAATTACATGACTGCCTGATTAGTTTCCTGGCGCTACTTCCAATTAGTTGAGAAGAAATTTAATATTTTGTGTCATTTTTTCTCATCATAAAAGAAAGGATATGATTAGAATGTTCTTTTTGTAAGGTTTAGGAGGATTAAATAATATTTGCAAGAAAATAGTATGTCTTGAGTGTTCAAAAATATGTATATATGGTATTATGATTATTCATCTTTTCAGGTTGAGTGAAGGGAATTAATTAAAAATACATGAAACAGTACATTAAAAATTATAACCAGTGTCTAAATGCCAGGTATTATTATGTAATCTGGTTAGAGAAAACCAAGGTACAAAATAATTGTCACATTATCTTCTCTTAGACACACTAATGCTAGTTAAAAGGATTCTGAATTAGAGTTCCCAACTACTCAGGAATTCTCAATTGTTCCCTAAGTTTGGGTTCATAAAACTTCTTTTAATAATTTATTTATTGAATTTTACCTAGTACTTTTAAAATTACTATCTTTCTTTAGATTTTCAAGAAGCATTAGTGACAGTTAAGTTAGTTTGTTGATTAGAAAAAGTAATGAGTTTCAGTTTGCTGCAAATGAATCTTGAAAGCTCCAATGATTACAAATGTCTGACAGTAATTGTTTTTATTTCCATGGCTAAGGTACAGGATTTTTTAAGATTAAATGTACTGAAACTCTCTTACAACAACCTAATTATTTACTGTGTGCTTAGGTAGTAAATATATAATAGTTGAACGCTGTTCAGTTTAGTGTTCCCGGAAATTTAGAGCTTTAGCTCTGAAGTTTCTTTAAAAACCGTTTTATCAGCCTGTCTTTTAGCTTACTGACCAGAAAGCTGAGGCCAAGAGAAGCTATGCAATTTGATCAGGGCCACAAAGTTATTATGAAAGCGGCTGAGATGAGAACCAAGTCCAGACACCTTCCCACTGTATTATATAAATGGTAAATTAAATAAAAAGCTGGTTCTTTGAAAATATAAACAAAAGATAGACCATTAGGGGGATTAACCAAGAAAAAAAGAAAGATTCAGATAAACTTGATTACAAATGGGAAACTGGATATATTACAACCAATACCACAGGAATGCAAAATATCATTCAAGGCTACTATTAACACTTTTATGCACACCAACAAGAAAATCTAGAGGGGACAGATAAATTCCTGAAAATATACAACTCTTCTAGATTAAATCAGGAAGAAACAGAAATTCTGAACACACCAATAACAAGCAGCAAGATCGAATAAATAATTTTAAAAAATGCCAACAAAAAGAAGTCTGGGACCAGATGGATTCACAGCTGAATTCCATCATATATTCAATAAAGCACTGGTACAAATTCTACAGAAAGTATTTCAAAAGATAAAGAGGGAATACTCCCTAAACCATTCTATGAAGCCAGATTCACCCTAATACCCAAACAAGGAAAGACTTAACAAAAAAAAGAAAACAATCAGCTATTATCCCTGACAAACACAGATGCAAAAATCTTCAACAAAATATAAGCTAATCTAATCCTACAGCATGTCAAAAAGATAATATGTCATGATCAAGTGAGTTTCATAACAGGGATACAGGGATAATTTAACATATGCAAGTCAATAAATGTGAGTCATCATCTAAATAGAATTTAAAACACCTATTCAATAAACGGTGCTGAGAAAACTGGCGAGCCATAAAAAAGAATGAAACTGAATCTTCATCTCTCACCTAATACAACCCAGGATGAACCAAACACTCAAATCTGAAGTATGACATGAAACCATAAAAATTCTAGAAGATAACATCAGAAAACTAGACATTGGCTTAAGCAGAGAATTCATGACTAAGACCCCAAAAGCGAATGCAACAAAATAAAGAAATAAATAGGACCTAATTAGACTAAGAAAAGCTTCTGTACAGCAAAAGAAGTAATTAACAGAGTAGACAGACAACCCCCAGAGTGGGAGAAAAAACAGTCATTATATGAAAAAGACACACGCATATGCATGTTTATGGCAGCACAATTCTCAGATGCAAAAATATGGAACCAATCTAAGTGCCCATCAACCAATAAGTGGATAAAGATAATGTGGTATATATACATCATGCAATACTACTCAGTCGTAAAAAGGAATGAAACAATATCTTTTGCAGCAACTTTGATTGAGCTAGAGGCCATTATTCTAAATGAAGTAACTCAGGAATGGAAAACCAAATATTGTATGTTCTCACTTATAAGTGAGAGCTAAGCTATGAGGATGCAAAGGCATAAGAATCATATAATGGACTCCGGGGACTTGGAGGGAAGCATGGGAGTGGGGCGAGGGATTAAAAAAAACATATATTGGGCACAGTTCACACTGTTCAAATGAAGAGTGCACCAAAACCTCAGCAATCACCTCTAAAGACCTTATCCATGTAACCAAAAATTGCTTGTACCCTAAAAATTATTAAAAGGAAAACAATAAAAGAATAATAGAGATAACAAGTGTCCTAGTGAATAAGAACTGCCAAAGGAAAGAATAGAGAAGAGGATACAATTAACAAAGACATATCGAAAGAAAATGCCTCAGAACTAAAGGACAAAGAAGTAAAACTGACAATGTTTTCTACGCACTGTATAATTAATGAAAAAGAAAAGACATACGTTGAAGAACACAAATGAATTCTATATTAACATCTTCTCAAGAATATTACATTTCAGATTACTTAGAATGGATATTTTGCTTTTAAAATGGAGACATATGATGGCTATCATCCTAGCAAAGTAATTAGAATTAACATCAATGATAATGAGATGACTTGATATTGTATGTGTTTTGATGTGGTAAAATATAAAGTGCATGTATCACCTGTATAGTATTCTTGCCCAAAATGTTTAACCTGAATGTAATAATAGGACAACTTCCAGGCAAAACTAAAATATAGAGCATTATGCAGTATGCAGGGTAAATGATTTAAAATCTTTAAAAAGACTAATAATATGGAAAACAAAAATAAAAATGAAGGAAAAACTGTGCTAGAGTTATGAGAGAGATATATAAATAGAAAGTAAAAAGGCAGAATTGTCCAGTGCACTTCAGGTATTTTCATTGGGACCTGAAGTTAAAAACATACAATGGAAACAACAACACAATAAATAAAGGACATTTTGAAGCCTGAAATCTGAACATAGACTCTATATTAGATGATACCATGAAATCATTTTAATTGTATTAAATGTGAAAATGGTATTCTTATTTAGGACAATGTCCTACTTCTTAGAGGATACTGGAAAAAAAATAGTAGATGAAAGTGTCATGTTGTCTGCTACTTCAACACTGTTTAGAATAAAGAAAAAGGAGAAAGAGTTTTCATATACAAAGAAGTCACCTATACACAAAAGTGACTATTGGATAGTTATACCAACAAACATGACAGCAATTGTCATGTTAAATGAAGTACCAAAATTTTTTGTATTTTTTTACATTTTTTTCTTGTCAGGTACTAGTACTGGAAGATGAATGTAAAAATCTTGATAAATCCCTGCCTCTGCTATCCTCAAATATACTAGCCTTTCAAAAAAGAAATAAAACAAAAAACAAGTCCACCTTGCCTGCTTCAATTTGTATTTCATTTGTAATATCACTACATATTCAAAAATGGTTTCCATGATTTAATTTTTTTTTTTTTAGCTTGTATTAACAGAGTCAGAGAAGATGTTCTGGTGAAGGGTAAACCTTTAGATTAATTGTATGAGTTTCCTAGAGAAGTCTTAGTACAGTACTACAAACTGAGTGGCTTAAAACATCAAAAATATATTCATTCGCAGTTCTGGAAGATAGAAGCCTGAAATCAAGGTATTGGTAATGTTGGTTCCTCCTGAAAGAGAATCTATTCCACTCCTCTCCCTGATGGCAGACAGCAAGTAGTGGCATTCCTTGGCTTTTAGATACTTTATTCAAACCTCTGCCTCCATCTTCACATGGAGTTGTCCCTACATCTCTGTCTTCTCATGGACACCTTCTTATAATGATTCAAGTTATATTGGAATCAGGGGTCCATCCTGCTCTAATATAACCTTATCTTAACTAATTACATCTACAAACATCTTGTTTCCAAATGAGGCCATATTCTGAGGTGCTGGAATTAGAACTTGAGTATATCTTCATGGGAGAACATAATTCCACCCATAGCCATAACAAATGTAATTTTTCTGAATAAACTGATGAGAATATAAAGTTTATAGGCATACTTCTCTGTCTTTGTCTTATAATTCCAAATAGTGTTTCAAAACTGAAAAGTATTTACATTTATTTTATAATAACTTCTATGCATGGAAACAAATATATATATATTTCATATGTATAATTTCATATATACACATAAGTTCATGAGAAAAACTAATGCATATTAAGCAAAGTTTCCAAATTAAAAGTATATTTTATCATGAACTAGATTTTAAAAATAAAGAGATTACCATCAGCCACAGTGGTATTTGCCTGTAGTCCCAGCTACTTGGGAGGCTTAGGCTAGAGAACTGCTTGAGCCCAGTAGTTTGAGCTCAGCCAGGGCAACATAGTGAGACCCTCATCTCTTCAAAAAAAAAAAAAGAAAGAAAAGATTATCTTACTGATTTTCTCAATAATGAGTCTGTTCTCTTTTTGATTTACAGTTATTTTCAAGGAGAATTGGTATCTCAGTGATTACCAGTAAAACATAAATCTTTGGTTGCCAACAATGGGAACTAATATCAAAAGACAATATAAATTTCCCCATGTACTCTAACCATTACAAAAGTCATTTAACCTCTCTGAAACTTTGTATTACTCAAAATAAATAAAAACCCTCCATATACTTATATGATAATCAATATCACCATATTATTGGATCCGGATTTTACAATTTTTTCCATAGAGGGATTCTAATGTTCTAGGAAGTCAAAAATTATTACTTTCAATGGCAAAAACCACAATTATTTTTACACCAACCTAATAATTCGGGTAATGAACATGAAAGAGTAAAGTCTAATGCATGAGTAGTAAACAGTGTGGTTCCCATGAACTCTATGAAACTTGGCCTTCTTTCTGTTTCTCCACCATCTCTAACCCCAACAAATAAGAGCAAAGGCAAATCCATATTTTCACTTCCTTAAATTAATTGGACTTACTGTTACTATTAACCTTAAACAAAGATGGCTCATTAATTTGTTTATTTATAACCCTTGGATCCCTCCTAATACCTGAAATAGTAAAAAAAATACCAGTGGAACCCATAGCACAGAGACTTTACTAGTAAATTCAAATTTCAATTATCTAGAGATTTATGGTATAATTATTAAGTCTTATTATTTTTATCAAAACAAAAGCTTCTAAATTTTTAATAATCTTGTACATAATGTCACCAGGCCATAGTTCCAATTTAACCAAAGGATGTACTTATTTTCTACTTGGTGTTGCTTTTGTCATTAATTATTTTAGGTCATGTGTAATGGTTATGTTTACACAAATAAGAGATCTGGGTAGTTTCCCCTTTAACTTATGAATTATTTTTATTTTTGCAAAGATAGTACTTTATTCAGGATCTATGATACAGGGCCCGATTCATTTTCTCACATTGTTTAAGTGAAACTAGCTGAAGACAGAAATGGCAGCTGATAATACCTATCAAAAAATCATCAGAGAGCTGTTATAGAGGAGGGGACAGCCAACATTTTGTTAAGGATGAAGTTTTCTTTATCAGCTTACTCTGTATCCTTTTTGACTGAGTTGCATAGACAATAAGCTATGTAACGAATTTTTAACAACACATTTATTTAAAACATAATATGGGGTACACAGAGCCAACAATGAGGTTCCATATGGGAAGGTTGTTGTTACAATGGTCATTCATGTAGAGATATATTTGTGTTCTATGTGAATTTAGTGAAGAGAGAGGTGTAATTTTGGCACAATATCAATATTTTAAAAATACTTCCTCAAAATTAGAATATCTAAACAACGTTTTAGAAATGAAGACTAAGTTAGGATGTAAGATGGAGTGAGGTAAGAATTAAGTGCAGGGACAGAGATGCCATTATAAAAAATCAAACAGACATACATGGGGTGATAAAACTGTGCTGTATCTTGGCTGTAATGGCAAAAGTGCAATTACTTTTGCACCAACCTAATATAATTTGACATGAGTCTATGCATGCAATAAAATTGTATAGATTAAATGCACATACATATATAAATGAATACAAGTAAAACTAAGGAAATCTAAATAAGATCAGTGGATTGCATCAATCTCAATATTCTGGTTGTGTTATCATTTTGCCAGCTGTTACTATTGGAAAAAAACTGGGTGAAAGTATACAGGTTTTCTTGGTTTTATTATTTTTGTACATCTGCTTGTGAAATCCTTCACTTAAAATCTCAATTAGAATTATCTTTTCTTGAATGTCATATTTGCATAAATTAAACTATGATTACTTTTAAGACTATATAAACTTAAAAATACCCAGAGTTTTTTTGATAGTTGTAGTTAGTCGTTATAAACTTCGGATCAGACAGTTAATGAAAGCTTTAAAAATGTGCATATGACTGCTTTTAACCATGAATACTCAAATTCATGAAGAAAAAATAACCTCAGATATTAAAGACATGTAATTTTTGAAGCAACATTTCAAGTAGACATAATGGATTTATCTTTAAAAATAATAATTTTTATATTCTACACTATTAGTTTATCAATTTTATGATAAAATGTGAATATGAGGACTAAACACATCCATTTGTCATAATTTATTCTGTACAGCTACAGAAATGAAATAACTCAACTAACTAGAGATCCTGAGTGTCATTAGAATCTCCACATTTAAGTTCTCTCAAGAAATTGAAAAGTGTATATTTTAAAGGAATTTTAAAATTTTTTATTCACTTTTATCTACTTTCTGTATTTTATCTTGACAACCTGGTGAGCTTCTGAACCTTGAACCATGCTAACATATTTCTCTGAAGATTATTTTTAATCATTATTTATAAAAAGTATTTCTTTGGCAAAAAGAAAACTGTAGCAGTTGTATTTGTGATTCTTAATAAGTGATGATGGGAGGTTAATTGGAAGGTTAATTATATGGAAGTTAAGTCTGTAGGAAACATGTGATTATTATTTTTCATAAAATAGAAATCTTGTTTCTTTGGGCTATGCTCATAAAGGCCTAGAGAATGGGAGTGTTGACATTGTGAGTTCCATATTCAATTCTAGTCAATATGACTTTATAGGGACAGTTTCTAGAACAAGGTTAGATAAAGATGTTGGCCTAGTTTCTGTTTTTATTAAAGCTAAGATCTAGGGATATTTAAGTTGTTATGTCATGAGATCACAGCCTCATGGTCTAAAATGTAAAATCAAACTCACAGTCCCATCACAAGTTATTTTATAGATAATTCTAGGTCTCAACCCAGCATGTTGGCAAGCACTATTAGAGTTACTAGGTTCAGTACAAGTCCATTTTGGAATGGTAGTATAATATAATAGTCAATTTTGCATTTTCCGCAATAAGGCATTCTTGTGTTTTTAAAGTTCAAACCTTAAAAAATTGCCAGAAAGATTTGAATGAAGGAAGTATCAAAGTCATGAATCTGGTCATTCCAGTGCTACTTCCTCTTGGACCCCACATTACATTACTAGTGCCCTTAGAATATATATAAAAGAGTTTTCCTGTCCAGTGTGTAAGGGGTTTAGACGTTTCCATTCCAACTAAAAATAACCAAAGAGCTGAACAAACCAAAATGAACAATTCTTTATAGATTCACAAGAAAAGTAAGGTCACAAGGCAAACTGTTGTCCTCAAAATTGGAGAGACAGACAAGAGAATATAGAAATTCACAGCTTACCTGACCGAAACCCCCCAGAGGAACAACTGCCAGGGTAGCAAAATCTGAACTGTAATTGACAAATTGCTGGAAGTTTAATGTGGACTATTCTGAGAGATTAAAAACCCCAGGGGAGCTAAAATATCAGGCCCTCCACAGTTTTGTGCATTTTACTTCTCAGAGCTTAGCCAGTTTCTCACAATGAATAGTGGAGAAAAATATCCTACTTTTAGTAAGGGGAGAAGAATAGGAATCATCTCACAATACATCTAAGAATTCTGTTCTTCTTAACAAGGTCAGCTCTCAGGGGAAATAATTTACCGAGAACCTAACTTGCTGGGATTTTATCAGAGCCTAACTAACCTAAAGTGAGGAAAATACCCAACTTCATCTAGCTCTACCCATTACTTGGAAGAAGGGAAATACCCAGTTCCAACCAATGTTAGCCATCTACATGAAAGAAGGGAAATACACGATTCTACTACTTCTATCCATCCTGCTGTTTCATCTAAGGGAGAGGAGGATGAGAAACACTTGTGAAGTTCACAGTCCAAAAAGACAAAATCACTAAAAACTGAGAATTAATCATAGGACTACAAAATGTTTCTCCTCCCCTCACATCTTACCATTAAATTACTGAAGTTCTATTTATAGCAGTTTATTTTACCCAATATCTCATATCCAGCTCTCAAGAAAAATTGCAAGACATTATAAGAGGGAGAACAAAAAAGACAGCTTGAAGACAGATACCAAGCATCAGAACTAGATTCAGGTATGGCAGGAATGTAGAAATTATCATAATGGGAATTTAGAACAATTATGATTAATATGTGAAGGGCTCCAATAAATAAAGTAGACAGCATGCAAGAATAGCTATACAATATATGCAGACAGATGGAAATTTTAAAGAAGTGTGAAAAAGAAATGCTAGCAACTGAAAACACCATAACAGAAATGAAGGCTTTGATGGGCTTATTAGCAAGGTGGACACAAGTAAGCAAAGAATCTCTGAGCTTGATGATATCTCAGTAGAAACTCCTGAAACTAAAAAGCAAAGGGAAAAAAAAAACCTGTAACACAACAACAACAAAAAAACATGCCGAATACTAAAGAACTGTGGGCACCCACAAAAGATCTAATAAACATGTAATGAGAATACCTGGTGGAAAAGAAAAAAAAAATGAAAGGAAGAGAGTAACTATTTGAAAAAATAATGACTGAGAATTTTCTTCACGTTTAAATCTGAAACCAAGCCACACACCAGGGAAGCTCAGAGAACAACTAACAGGATACAAACTACAGAAAATCAAATATAAAGATAAAAATTCTGTTGGACAACAGATGGAATAAACAAGTTAGTTATAGAGGAATAAAAAGGAGAACTACATTTGACTATCCTCAGAAATCATACAATCAAGAAGAGATTGGAGTTAAATGTTTAAATGTTGAGAGAAAAAATAATCACCTACCAACCTAGATTTCTGTACTCAGTGAAACTGTGCTTCAAAAATGAAAGAGAAATAAAAATTTTCTCAGACAAATAAAAATTAACAATTTGATGCCAGAAGACCTGCCATGCAAGACATATATTTTCAAAAATGTATTTTAGAGAGAAAATTACAGAACAGATAGACAATATAAGCAGATAGATGGAAATTTTAAGGAACAGTGAAAAAAATGCTGGAAAAAATTATATAGGTCAGATTATATAGGTCAGAAACCTAGATCTTGATAAATAAAGAGCATCAAAAAGCAGTAAATGAAGATAAAAGAAAATTTTTTTCTTATTTTTAATTGATCTAACAGAGAACAGTTTGTTCAAATTAATAGCAACAATTTACTTAACTATGTGTGCTTATATATTAATAACATATATGCTTACATATAAGTAAAATGAATAACATTAATGATACAAGAAATGGGAGGAAGGATTTAGAAATTTTTGTTATAACGTACTCACACCACCTATGAAGTAGTATAGTGTTATTGGAAAGTCGACTGGATCAGGTGTAAATGTATATTGCAAACTTAAGGGCAAACATTAAAAGAAAAAGTATAACTGATATTCTGAAAAAAAGAAAAATTGACAACATATACAATGCTTAACTGAAGCACCAAAAGGAAGAAAAAGAGTGAAAGACAAAGATAGGCACAAAGACCAAGGGAAACCTAATAACAAATATGATAGATACAAAGCCAACTACATCAATCACTTTGAACATCAGAGGTCTAACTGCACCATCAAAAGTCAGAAAGGATATAAAAATATGACTCAAATATTTGTTGTTTGCAATAAACCCAATTCATATATAAAGACACATGTAGTATAAAAGAAAACGTATAATGAAAGTTAGACCATGCTTACACCAACCAAAAGGAAGTGGGAATCACAATATTAATTTCACACAGAGTAGACTTCAGAGGAAGAAAAATTATCAGGCATCAAGAGGGATATTACATAATGATACTTTGTGATTCTCCAAGAAGACAATAACAATTACTAATGTTTATGCCTAACAAAAGAGTGTCAAAATATTTGAAGCAAAAATTTATATAGCAACAAAAATAAATAGACAAATCCATTTTTATACTTGACATCCTTCTACCAGAAATGAACAGATACAGCAGACTATGGGTAAGGACGTAGTATCAACATTATAAAAATAAATTGAATATAATTGATATCAATAGATTTCTTGATCCAACAACAGCAGAATACAGATTTTACTCAAGCTCACATGAAACAGTAAGCAAGATAGGCCACATTCTGGGCCATAAAACACATCCTAATAAATTTAAAAGAATACAAATTTTACAATGTTTGCTCTCAGGTCACAATGGAATTAAGCTAGAAATTAATACTAAAGCATAGTTGGAAATCCTAAAATATTTAGAAATTAATCAACACACAACAAATATCATGAGTCAAAGAAGAACTCTTAATAGAAGTTTTTAAAGATATTTTGGACTAAATGAAGATGAAAACAACTTATCACAATGTATGGGATGCAGCAAAGCTGTGCTTAGAGGAATATTTATAGCATTGAATGCCTATACTAGAAAAGAAGAAATATCTAAAATTAATAAACTAAATTTCCACATTAGGAAGCTGGGGGAAAAAAGCAAATTAAATACAAAGTAAGCAGAAGAAAACAAATAATTACACTTAGAACAGAAATCAATGAAAAAATAGGAAATAAATTGAGAAAATCAGTGAAACCAAAAGCTTTTAAAATATCAACAAATTAATAGCTTTTAGCCAGATTAAATAAGGAAAAAGAGAGTAGGCAAATTACTAATATCAAATATGAAAAAGACACATCACTACAAATTCCATGGATATTAAAAAGACAATCAAAGAATACTATGAACACCTGTCTAAATTTGATAACCCAATGAACCAATCTATTGAAACACACAATGTGCCAAAACGATAAAAAAGTCACACAAGAAGAAATAGTCAAGCTGAATATGCCATTATATATTAAAGAACTTGACAATAATGATCAATATCCTTCCGAAACCAAAATCACCAGGCCCAGATGGGCTCACAGATGAGTTATACTAAACAGTTGGGAAAAATTACATCAGTTCTCTACAATCTCCTCCAAATGAGAAGCAGAAGTATTTACTAACTCTTCTATGAGGCCAGTAAAACCTAATACCCAAACCAGATAAAGATGTCAGTAGAAGAGAAAACTACGGACGATATTCCTCATGAACATAAATGGAACAATGCTTTAAAAAATATTCTTAAAGAGAATCCAACTACATATTTTAAAAATTACACACAATGACCAAGTGAGATTTATTGCAGACAGGCAAGACTGATTAAGAATTCAAAAGTTAATAAGTAATCTTGTCACCTCAACAAGCTAAAGAAAAAAAAAAACACATGATTATATAAACACATAAAGAAAAAGAATTTGATAATATCCAACATCCATTCATGATAAAGCCTCTCAGAAAGTTAGGAATAGAAGGGAATGTTCACAACTTCACAGAGAACATTTGAAAAAATTGACAGCTAGTATCAGACTTAATAGCGAGAAACTTGAAGCTTTCCTTCTAAGATCATCAAGGAGGCCAGGCGCGGTGGCTCGCGCCTGTGATCCTAGCACTTTGGGAGTCAGAGAAGGGCTGATCACTGCAGTTCAGGAGTTCGAGACCGGCCTGGCCCCCGTCTCTACTAAAAATACGAAAATTAGCCGGGCATGGTGGCACATGCCTGTAATCCCAGCTACTGGAGAGGCTGAGGCAGGAGAATTGCTTGAACTCGGGAGGCAGAGATGGGAGTGAGCTAAGATCATGCCATTGCACTCCAGCCTTGGCGAAGAAACAAGATTCCGTCTCAAAAAAAAAAGAAAAATCTTCAAGGAAGAGACATTCCTTCTCATTACTGCTTTGCAACATCATCCTGGAAGTCCTGGTTGATGCAATAAGACGAAGAAAGGTAATCAAATTATACTAATTGGGAAGGAAGAAACAAAACTATTTTTGTTTGTAAATGGCATGATTGTCTCTGTAGAAAATCTGAACAAATCAACCCTCCTGGAACTGAGTGATTATAGCAAGATTGCAGGATTCACAGAGCAAATCACTCTCCCATATATCAGCAATGAACAAATGAAATTTGAAATTAAAAAATAATACCAATTACATTATTAGCACTGAAAATTTTTAAAAATTCAAATCTACCAAAATATTTACAAGATTTATTGGAGGAAAACTATAATAGTTTGATAAAAGAAATTAAGGTTGGGCACAGAAGCTCACACCTGTAATCCCAGCACTTTGGGAGGCCAAGGTGGGCAGATCATTTGAACTCAGGAGTTCAAGTTCAAGACCAGCATGAGCAACATGGCAAAACCCTGTCTCTACCAAAAATACAAAAATTAGCCGGGAATGGTGGTATGCCTGGGGTTCCAGCAATTAGGGAGGCTGAGGTGGGAGAATTGCTTGAGCCAGGAGGCAAAGGTTGCAATGAGCCAAGCCAAGATTATGCCACTGCACTCCAGCCTGAGTGATAGAGTGAGACCCTGTCTCAAAAAAAAAAAAAAAATCAAATAATAACTAAATAAATAGACAGATGTTTTATGTTTAGCCATAGGAAGATTCAATATGTTCAAGATGGGAAGATGTCTTTCCAACTTTGTCTATAGATGCAATGTAATTCCATTAAAAATTCCAGCAATTTATTTTGTGAATATTGAAAACTGACTGTAATAGCCAACATAATATTGAAGGAGAAGAACAAATTGGAGGATTTAAAACTATCATCTGACTTCTACTTGCTAATATTTTAAAATATGTGTATATATATTTATATTAATATGTGTCCCTTTTCTCAGTCTTTGGTTCATTTACCTTCTTACTTTGTAAATTGTTCATCTCGCCGTTTTTTATGACTTGTAAAACTATAGGTATATTAATGGTACTAATTCATTTGTACTATTTTTAGAATTTGGAAAGCTATTCATATGAGTATATTCCATATTCCTTTCGATTCTTTATTTGATGATTATTTGGTTTCCAAAAGCTTTTGTGTTAATTGCCTTTGAATTTTTGGTTGTTTTTAGTATTTGTTTTGCAAATACTGATAATTTAAATTAATGGGTTTTTATGCATTTTTATTTTCTTATTTGCTGCCTAGCCTATAATATACTAATGCTCATTTCCTAATAGTGATAATAGTTATTTATTAAATTGTTATATTATTGTACTTAAGAATACTGATGATTTTAGTTTTCTACTTTTTTTCGTAATAAAAAGGCATGCTATTTTCCAGACAATTTGGTAATAATAATAAGCATAATGCTTAACATTCATTGAGAAGTTTCTGTATGTCAGGAAACACTAGAAGATGTAGATTAAAATATGTTATTATGATTCCTGTCACTCTCTTAAGAGAGATAGAAACCTTCTAATTCTTGTACTGTGACAATTTGATTTCCAGAGATACACAGGGAAGAAAAAATGGATAGAATTAGGAGTTGAAGATGTAGGACAGGGAATTTTTAAAAACTCATGAAAGATCAACAAACAGATTTAAGAAGATCAAAATGCTTCAAGTAGGATAAATAAAGAGAATCAAACTATAGCCATGCTATAGCAAAACAGTTAAAAATAAAATACAAGTATAAAATAGTTAAAGTAGCCAGAGGAAAAAAAAATACACTTTATTCTCAAAAAACACAAACAAAAATATATTTGCTGTCACAAATTAGTGAAGACAGAAGAAAAGGAAATGACTTCTGTAAAGTACTAAGGAAAATAACTGACAACCTAGAATTGCATGTAAATGAATATAGCCTTCGTAAAGATGAAATAAAGATGGTCCCTTAGAAATAAAATTTAAAGAGATCTGTTGCTATCAGGCTTGCAGAAAGAACATATTGGGGTCTACAAGCAGCAGAAAAATATTTCCAAATGGAAAAAAAGGAAATGTAGGAGGGGGGAAAAACACCAGAAAGTGTGCATATGTGGGATGATAATTTAATATTGATTGAAAAAACACTGGTAAAATCTTATGGGGTTTAGAATACAGAGAAAATGAAAATACATTTGAAATATTCGATTTAGAAAGAGCGGACACATGAAGGTTCTGTAGTGTCTTAGTTCCTGAAGTGGGCACTGAATGCACAGGTGCTTTCTTTAAAACAAACAATAACAAAAAATATCAACAACTTTAATTTTAAGTTCAGGGGTACATTTGCAGGATGTGCAGGTTTGTTACATAGGTATACGTGTGTCATGGGGGTTAGTTGTACAGATTAGTTCACCATTAAGGTATTAAATTAAGTCTAGTATCCATTAGTCATTGTTTTTTGTTCTTCTCCCTCTTCTCACCCTCTGCCCTCCAGTAAGCCCCACTGTGTGTTGTTCTCCTCTGTGCGCCCATGTGTTCTCATCATTTAGCTCCCACTTATAAGTGAGAACATGTGGTATTTTGTTTTCCATTTTGTGTTAGTTTGCTAAGGATAATGGCCTCCAGCTCCATGCATGTCCCTGTAAAGGACGTGATCTCATTCTTTTTATGGCTGCATAGTATTCCATGGTGTATATACACCACATTTTCCTTATCCAGAAATAAAACTATTTTTGTTCATAATTGGGAGTTGAGATTGATTCCGTCTCTGCTTTTGTGAATGATGTTGCAATGAGCATACATGTGCATGTGTCTTTATAGTAGAATCATTTATATTCCTTTGAGTATATACCTAGTAATGAGCTTGCTGGGTCTAATGGTATTTGTGTCTCTAGGTCTTTGAGGAATTACCACACTGTCTTCCATGATGATTGAATTAATTTCCCCTCCCACCAACAGTGTAAAAGTGTTCCTTTTTCTGCACAACCTTACCAGCATTTATTATTTTTGACTGACTTTTTAATGATAGCCATTCTAACTGGTGTGAAATGGTATCTCATTGTGCTTTTGATTTGAATTTCTCGAATGATCAGTGATTTTTTCATATGATTATTGGCCACATGTATGTCTTCTTTTGAGAAGTGTCTGTTCATGTCCTTTACTCACTTTTTAATGGGATCTTTTTGTTTTTTTCTTGTAAATTTGTTTAAGTTACTTACAGATGCTGAATGTTAGACCTTTGTCAGATGCATAGTTTGCAAAAGTTTCCTCCCATTCTGTTGGTTGTCTGTTTACTCTGTTGATAGTTTCTTTTGCTGTGCAGAAGCTCTTTAGTTTAATTAGATCATATTTGTCAAGTTTTGCCTCTGTTGCAATTGCTTTTGGCATCTTTGTCATGAAATCTGCCTGTGTCTATGTCCTGAATGGTATTGCCTAGGTTTTCTTCCAGTATTTTTATGGTTTTGGGTTATATATTTAAGTTTTTAATCCATCTTGAGTTGATTTTTGTGTATGATGTAAGAAAGGTGTCTGGTTTCAATTTTTTGCACATGACTATCCAGTTTTTTCAGTACCATTTATTAAGTAAGGAGTCTTTTCCCCATTGCTTGTTTTTGTCCAGTTTGTTGAAGATCAGGTGATTGTAGGTATGCAGTCTTATTCCTGGTTGCAGGTATGTGGTTCTCTGTTTTGTTCCATTGGTCTATGTGTTTGTTCTTTTATGAGTAGCATGCTGTTTTTGTTATTGTAGCCACGCAGTATAGTTTGAAGTCGGGTAGCATAAGGCCTCCAGCTTTGTTCTTTTTGCTTAGGATTGCCTTGGCTATTTGAGCTCTTTTTTGTTTCCATATGAATTTTAAGATAGTATTTTCTAGTTCTGTGAAGAATGTCAGTGGTAGTTTAATGGTAACAGCATTGATTGTATACATTGCTTTGGACAGTATGGTCATTTTCACTATATTGCTTCTTCATATCCATGAGCATACAATGTTTTTCCATTTGTTTGTGTCATCTCTGATTTCTTTGAGCAGTGGTTTGTAGTTCTCCTCAGAGAGATCATTCACTTCCCTCGTTAGCTCTATTCCTAGGTATTTTATTCTGTTTGCGGAGATTGTGAATAGGAGTTCCTTCATGATTTGGCTCTCAGCTTGCATAGGAATGCTAGGAGTTTTGCACATTAATTTTGTATCTTGAGACTGCTGAAATTGTTTATCAGCTTAAGAAGCTATTGGACTGAGGAATGGGGTTTTCTAGATAGGATCATGTCATCTGCAAACAAAGATAGTTTGACTTCCTCTCTTCCTACTTGGATACCTTTATTTTTTCTCTTGCTTGATTGCCCTGCAAGAACTTCCAGTGCTATTTTGAATAAGAAGGGGTGAGAGAGGGCATCCTTGTCTTGTGCCAGTTTTCAAGGGGAATGCTTCCAGATTTTGCCCATTCAGTATATTGTCTGTTGGTTTATCATATATGGCTCTTATTATTTTGAGGTATGTTCCTTTAATACCTAGTTTATTGAGAGTTTTTAATGTTAAGGAATGTTGAATTCTATCAAAAGCCTTTTCTGAATTTATTGAGATAATCATGTGGTGCTTGTCTTAATTCTGTTTATATGATGAATCACAGTTATAGATTTGTGTATTTTGAAGCAACATTGCATCCTGGGGATGAAGCACACTTGATCATGGTGGATAAGCTTTTTGATCTGCTGCTGGATTCAATTTGCCAGTATTCTGTAGAGAATTTTTATATCAATGTTTGTTATGGATATTGACCTAAAGTTTTGTTGTTGTTGTTGTATCTCTGCCAGGTTTGGGTATCAGGATGATTCTGGCCTTATAAAATGAGTTAGGGACGAGTCCCTCCGTTTCAGTTTTTTTGGAATAGTTTCTGTAGGAATGGTGCCAGCTCTTCTTTGTACATTTGATAGAATTTGGCTGTGAATCTGTCTGGTCCTGGGCTTTTTATGGTTGGTAGGCTATTTATTGCTGCCGTAATTTCAGAACTTGTTATTGGTTTGTTCAAGCATTCAATTTCTTCATGCTTCAGTCTTGGAAGGTGTAGGTGTCCAGGAATTTATCCATTTCTTCTAGATATTCTAGTTCATGTGCACAGAGGCGTTTATAATACTCTCTTTTGGTTATCTATATTTCTGTAGGGTGAATGGTAATATCCCCCTTATCATCTGATTGTCTTTATTTGAATCTTCTCTCTTTTCTTCATTAATAACCTAACTAGTTGTCTATCTATTTTATTAATTTTTTTAAAAAAGCAGCTCCTGGTTTCATTGATTTTTTGAAAGGTTTTTTATGTCTCTATCTCCTTCAGTTCAGCTCCGATCTTGGTTATTTCTTGTCTTCTGCTACCTTTGGGGTTTGTTTGCTCTTGGTTCTTTAGTTCTCTTAGTTGTGATATGAGGTTGTTAACTTGAGATCTTTCTAGCTTTTTCATGTGGGTATTTAGTGCTATAAATTTCCCTCTTAATGCTGCCTTAGCTGTGTCCCAGAGATTCTGGTATGCTGTATCTTTGTTCTCATTAGTAAAGAACTTCATTTTTGCCATAATTTCATTGATTACTTCCAAGTCATTCAGGAGCAGGTTGTTCAATTTGCATGTGATTGTATGATTTTGAGTGAATTTCTTAGTCTTGAGTTCTAATTTGATTGCACTGTGGTCCAAGAGACTGTTATAATTTCAGTTCTTTTGCATTTGCTGAGAAGTGTTTTACTTTTGATTAGGTGATCAATTTTTGAGTAAGTGCCATGCAGCAATGAGAATAATGTATATTCTGTTGATTTGTGAAAACTTATCAAGCTAAACACTTAGGATGTACATAGTTTCTCTATGTATCTGAAATCACTATGCATTTTATAGACAGATTTTTTTTAAAAAAAAGAATAAGAACTCTATCCTAATCTAATATGAGATATTTTCATGAAGTAAATAATGACAGTTTGGTCAATGACAGACCACATATGCAACTGTGGTCACATAAAATTATGAAGCTTACAAATTTTATTTCCTAGTGACATCATGGCTATCATAACGCTATAGCACAACACGTTACCAGCAAATTTGTGGTGATGCTGATGTAAACCTACTCTGATGTCAGTTATATGAAAGTATAGCATGTACAATTATGGACAATATATAATATTTGATAATCATGATAAATGAGTATGTTGCTGGTTCACGTATTTACTATACTTCTTATTTCTATTTTAGTGAATACTCCACATATATATATATGTATATGTGTGTATATATATATGTAATATATATATACACACACACACACATATGGATGTAAGTTAACTGTAAATCAGCCTTGGGTATGTCCTTCAGAAGGTATTCAAGAAGAAGGCGTTGTTATATAGGAGATGATAGCTCCATGCATGTCATTGCCCCAGAAGACCTTCCAGTGGGACAAGATGTGGAGGTGGAAGACAGTGATATTGGTAATCCTCACCCTATATAGGGCTAGACTAAAGTGTGTTTTTGTGTCTTAGTTTTTATCAAAAAATTAACCATACCCAACTTGCCAGACAGTCAAACTCTCAAAGGAAGCAAAGAACATAAAAACAAAATGCCCCATCCAAAGGTCAGCAACTTCAATGGGTAAAGGAACATAAAACTTCACAGATGAGAAAAAATCAGTGCAGGAACTCTGGCAACTCTAAAAGTTAAAGTGTATTCTTACTTTCAAACAATCATAGTACCTTTCCAGCAATAGTTCTTAACAAGATTGAATGACTGAAATGACAGACATTAAATTCAGAACCTGAATTAGCAAGGAAGCTAAATGAGATACATAAGAACTCTGAAACCAAATTCAAGGAAAACGGTACGAAAATATAAGAGTTGAAAAACAATATAGCATTTTAAGAAATAACCAAACTCAACTTCTGGAAATAAAAAAAAAAAATTCACTATAGAAATTTCATAATACAACTGGAAGCACTAACAAGGAAACAGACCAAGTTGAGGAAATAATTTCAGAGCTTGAAAACTGCTCCTTTGAATCAACACAGGAAATAAATAAATAAATATCTAAACAAAAAATAATTTTTACAAATGAACAAAACCTCTGAGAAATATGAAATTATATAAAGAGATTAAACCTACAACTCACTGCTGAGAAAGAAGAAACTTGGCAAACAAATTTGAAAATATGGTCCATGAAAAATTTCCCTATCTCACTAGAAAGGTTGACATGGAAATTCAGGAAATTCGGAGAATTCCTAGGCAATACTATCCAAGATGACAATTTCCAAGACATATAGTCATCAGATTCTCTAAGGGCAATGCAGAAGAAAAAAACCTTAAATGAAGCTAGAGATAAGGGACAGGTCACCTAAAAGGGAAATCTAACAGGCTAACAGTAAAACTTTCCAGTTGGTTTTTTGTTTGTTTGGTTTGTTTTTGTTTTGCTTTTTTGGGGGGTGGGTATTTTTTGTTTGTTTGTTTGTTTTTGAGACAAAGTATCACTCTGTAGCCCAGGCTGGAGTGCAACGGCATAATCTCGGCTCACTGTAGCCTCTGCCTCCCGGGTTCCAGCCATTCTCCTGCCTCAGCCTCTCGGGTAGCTGGGATTACAGGCACGTGCCACAATGCCCGGCTAATTTTTGTATTTTTAGTAGGGACGGGGTTTCACCATGTTGGCCAGGATGGTCTCAAACTCCTGACCTCAGGTGATCCGCCCACCTCAGCCTCCCAAAGTGCTGGGAGTGCAGGAGTGAGCCACTGCGCCCGCCCCTTTCCAGCTGTTAATAGAATTCTAAATCCATTTTGTACTGGGCTTCTGGTTGTTAGGCTTTTTATTACTGATTCAATTTCAGAACTCGTTATTGGTTTGTTCAGGGATTTAATTTCTTCTTAGTTTAATCCTAGAGGTTGTATATTTCCGGGAATTTATTCATTTCTTCTACACTTTCTAGTTTTTCTAGTTTTTGTGCATAGAGGTATTCGTAAGCAGTCTCCGAAGGGTTTTTTGTTTGGTTGTTGTTGTTTTTTTTTTTTGTTTTTTTTGTTTTTTTTTGAGACGGAGTCTTGCTCTGTCGCCCAGGCTGGAGTGCAGTGGTGTGATCTTGGCTCACTGCAAGCTCCGCCTCCCGGGTTCACGCCAATTCTCCTGCCTCAGTCTCCTGAGTAGCTGGGATACAGGCACCCACCACCATGCCCGGCTAATTTTTTGTATTTTTAGTAGAGACAGGGTTTCACCGTGTTAGCCAGGATGGTCTCGATCTCCTGATTTCGTGATCCGCCCACCCCGGCCTCCCAAAGTGCTGGGATTACAGGCATAAGCCACCACACCCGGCCTTTTTTTTGTTTTTGTTTTTGTTTTTGTTTTTGGCTTGCGCGTGTGTGTGAGTGTGTGTGTGTATGGGTGTTTCTGTGGGGCCAGTGGTTAACATTCCCTATGTTACTTCTGATCGTGTTTATTTGGATCTTCTTTCTTTTTGTCCTTTATTATTCTAGCAAGTGGTCTATCTTTTTAATTCTTTCAAAAAAGAAACTTCAAGATTTGTTGTTCTTTTGTATGGACTAGTCATGATGCTAGGTTGTTAATTTGAGATCTTTTTAACTTTTTGATGTGCATATATGCTTCATGAAAAATGGACCATGGGCATTTAGTGTTATAAATTTTCCTCTAAATATTGCTTTATCTCTCCCAGAGATTCTGGTATGTTGTATCTTTGTTCTCATTAGTTTCTAATAATTTTTTGATTTCTGCCTTAATTTTGTTATTTACCTTAAAGTCATTGAGTAGCACATTGTTTAATATCCATTTGTATGATTTTGATTGATTTTCTTAGTATTGATTTCTATTTTTATTGCACTGTGGTCTGAGAGTGTGCTTAGCTTTTTTTTTTTAAATTTGCTGTGGATTGTTTTATAATTAATTATGTGGTGCATTTTAGAGTATGTGCCATGTGCAGATGAGAAGAATGCATATTCTGCTATTTTGGGGTAAAGAGCTCTGTAGATATGTATTAGGCCCATTTGGTCAATTGTCCAGTTCTGCTCCTGAATATCTTTGTTAGTTTTCTGTGTTGATTTAATACTATCTGTGGGGGTGTTGAAGTCTATTACCATTGTTGTATGGTTATCTAACTCTCTTCCTAGGTCTGTAAGAACTTGCTTTATGAATCTGGGTGCTCCTGTATCGGGTGCATATATATTTAAGATAGTAGGTCTTCTCGTTGAATTGAGCCCTTTGCCATTATGTAATGCCCCTTTGTCTTTCTTGATCTTTGTTGGATTAAACTCTGTTTTGTCTGAATTAGAATAACAACCCCTACTTTTTTCTTTTATTCTGTTTGCTTGATTGGTTTTTCTCCAGCCCTTTTCTTTGAGTCCTTGGGTGTCATTGCATGTGAGATGGGTCTTTCTAGGGCAGTATATAATTGGGTCTTGCTTTCTTATCTAACTTGCCACTCTGTGCCATTTAATAGGGGCAATTAGCTGTTTACACTCAAGGTTTGTACTGATATGTGTGGATTTGATCCTGTCATTGTTTTGTTAGCTGGTTATTTTGCAGACTTGTGTCTGTGGCTGCTTTATAGTGTAACTGAGATATGTAGTTAAGTGTGTTTCTGTAGCAGCCTGTAACAGTCTTTTCTTTCAATGTTTAGCACTTCTTTCAAGACCTCTTGTAAGGCAGGCCTGGTGCTATTGAATTCCCTTGGCATATACTTGTCTGAAAAAGATCTTATATTTTCCTTCACCTATGAAGCTTCATGTGGCAGGATATGAAATTATTGGTTGGAGTTTCTCTCCTTTAAGAATGCTGAATATAAGCCTTCAATCTCTTCTGCATTGTAGAGTTTATGCTTAAAGGTCTGCTGTTAGTCTGATGGGCTTCCCTTTTTAGGTGACATGACCTTCTCTTTAGCTGCCTTTAACACTTTTTCTTTCATTTTGACTTTGGAGAATCTGATGACTATGTGTCTTGTGGGTGGTCTTCTTGTGTAGTATTTTGCTGGCATTCTCTGCTTTTCTTAAATGTCAATGTTGGCCTCTCTAACGAGGTTGGGGAAATTTTCATGGATGATATCCTGAAATATGTTTTTCAAGTTGTTTGCATTCTCTACCTCTCTTTCATGGATGCCAGTGAGTCATAGATTTGGTCTCTTTATATAATCCTATATTTCTTGGAGGTTTTGTTTATTCTTCTTTATTTTTTTTCTTCATTTTTGTCTGACTGAGTTATTTCAGAAAACCAGTCCTCCAGCCCTGAGAGTCTTTCTTCAGCTTGGTCAATTCTACTGTTAATAATTGTTATTTTATTCTGAAATTCTTGAAGGGAGTTTTCAGTTCTATCAGATCTGTTTGATTCTTTTTAAAAGTAGCCATTTGATCTTTCGTCTCCTGTTTTGTTTTATTGTATTCCTTATAATCCTTGAATTGAATTTTGCCATTCTGAAGCTCAATGATCTTTACTCCTATTCATATTCTGAATACTATTTTTGTCATTTCAGATATTTCAGCCTGGTTAAGAACTCTTGTTGGGGAACTGATGCAGTTGTTTGGATGTAAAAAGACACTCCGGCTTTTTGAGTTGCCAGAGTTCCTGCACTGTTTATTTTCTCATCTATGTGGACTCATGTTCCTTTAACCTTTGAAGTTGTTGCCTTTGGATGTTTTTTGTTTGTTTGTTTTTCCTTTTATCTTCTTTGATGTTGTTGGGAGTTTGTGATTAAGATGGGTTCAGTCAATGGCTATGTTTTTGAAAGACTTTAAGGGACCAAGGCTCAGCTCAGCACTCCTGGGCTGCGTATTCCTACTCTGGGGGACTGAAATGAGACCCACAACTTTGTTCTCTAGCACTTCAAGGTTAGAAGTTTGTTACATTAGAGGAGCTGAGATGTTCTTGGACCACTGGCCACACACTCTGTTCAGCAGTGCCATCCAAAGTGCTTAGTTGGGCTGTGACAGTGGTAACTGTACTCATTTGCACATGCCAGCAACAGTGGCAGTGCCGTAGGGTGCATGCTTATTGGCTGTGGTGGGGCACTGGCAGGCATTTGGCAGGTATCTGACTGTCACCCTCCATGTGTACATTTGCAGCAGTGACTGTATATCATGGGATGCATGGGGTCACTTGTGTTCATGTGCATGTTTTCCTTGGTGGTGGTTAAGGCATGGGTGCAGGGCACTGGCGAACGTGGGGCTGGACATCTCCATGCATGCATTCACATGTGTGGCAGTGATACTGGCTGGGGGTGGGGACTCCAGCAACGGCAGTATATCACGGAGGGGTGGGACAGGGTGTGTTCAGGCCAGCATCAATGGCATGGCACAGTGGGGTGCACAAGCTCACCCACATTGACAGGGGTTGAGAAGCAAGGTCCTCCTGTGCACGTGTGCACCGGCAAAGCAGTGAGAGAGGTAGCTATGGGTTAGTGTGTGCTGGAAAGGCTGTAGTGGAGGGAAGGTGTGGGTAGGCTGGTGCACATTGTTGGAGATCACTCTGCTGGTGCCCTCCAACAATGAGACATGGTTTGCCAGTGCAGAAGCTATGATGCTGGTCCCTGGGTAGCACCCTAGTTACGCATCCAAGGCTGCACTGCAAGTAGGCACTGCCAGTCTAGGGACCAGGGAGAGGCCAGCAGACTCAGGGGGCACTCTGATCTCTCTGGCCTCATCTCATAGGCAAGATTGCCCTGCTCTGTTCAGGTCTCATAGTTCCCCTCAGGCTAAATTCTCCTAAAGGAGTATGGTGAGCATTGGGAGATGGGCATCCCTGGCCATGCTCCACTGCAGACTTTCCCACACCAAACCCTATGGGCTCTACACAGACTGAAGCCCTGCCCCTACTACCTGTCTAGCAGCTCTCCCCGCCAGCTCAAGTGTCAATGGATGTTGTGTATTCCCTGCTGCCAGGATTCTAGAGTTCCATGGGTTGCTCCCCAGCTGCTTAACTCCTCCCTTCTCCAGGAGTCAATGAGGGTCAAAAATGAGTCCTGGTGTGTGGTAGCCCTTTGTAGCATTCCTGGCTTCCTCCCCCTTCAGTATAGCGTATGTATCCTTCCTCCATCCATTCTGAATGCATTCCTTCTGAAGATCTGCTTGGAGTGTGCCAGTCTTCCTGATGTCCTAATCACTTGGTGGCAGATATTACTTCTGGTTGTTTCTAGTCAGCCATCTTGCCTACCAACTGCAATTCTATACCCAGAAAACAGTATACTTCACTAAATGGCTGCAGAACTGATAAATGACTTCAATACAGTTTCAGTATATAAAATCAATATAAAAAATCAGTAGCATTTCTATATACCAATAATGTTCAAACTGAGAGCCATATCACGAATGCAATCCCATTTACAATAGCCACCAAAAACCAAAATACCTCGTGATGCATCTAATCAAGGAGGTGAATGATCTCTACAATGAGAATTACAAAACAGTGCTGAAAGAAATCAGAGATAACACAAACAAATGGAAAAGCATTCCATGCTCATTGATAGGAAGAATCAATATTGTTCAAATGCCCATACTGGCCAAGGCAATCTAAAGATTCCTATCAAACTACCAACACGGTTTTACAGGTACTTAGATAAAACTGTTCTAAAGTTTATACAGAACTAAAAACCAGCCTAAATCACCAAACAATCCTCAGCAAAGAGAACAGAGTTGGAGGCATTAAACACCCAACTTCAAACTATGCTACAAGACAAGTGTTACCAAAGCAGCATGGTACTAGTAGAAAAACAGACATGTAGACCAATGGAACATAATAGAAAGCTCAGAAATAAAGCCACACATTTACAACCATCTGCTCTTTGACAAGTCTGACAAAAACAAGCCATGGGGAAAAGACTACCTATTCAATAAATGGCACTGGGATAATTGGCTAGCCATAGGCAGAAGAATAAAACTGGACCCCTACCTTTCACCATGTACAAAAATTAAACCATGATGAATTAACAATTTAAATGTAAGACCTTAAACTACAAAAACACTACAAGAACACCTAGTAAACAACATTCTGGATATCAGCGTTGGTAAAGAATATGACTAAGTCCTCCAAAGCAATTGTAACAAAGCCGAAAATTGACAAGTGCAACCTAGTTAAACTAAAGAACTTCTGCACAACAAAAGAAACTATAAACAGAGTAAACATACAGTCTACAGAATGGAAAAAAAATCACAAACTTGAGTAACTTAAGCAACTCAACAAACAAGAAACTACATCATTAAAAAATGGACAAAGGACATGAACGTACACTTCTCAAAAGAAGACATGCATGTGGCCAATGAATATATGAAAAAATTATCATCATTACTAATCATCAAAGAAATGCAAATCAAAACCACAATGAGATACCATCTCATACCAGTCAGAATGGCTATTATTTAAAAGTCAAATAACCACAGATGTTGGTGAGGTTGTGGCGCAAAGGGAACACATATACACTGTTGGAGAGAATGTAAATTAGTTCAGCAACTGTGGAAAGCAGTTTTGTGATTTACCAGAAAACATAAAACAGAGCTACCATTTGACCCAGTAACTACCATTTGACCCACTATATATCCTATCAAAAACTTTATGATATATAGTGGGTATATATCATAAGAAAACAAATTGTTCTACCAAAAATGCACATTGACTCCTATGTTTATTGCAGTGCTATTCACAATAGCAAAGACATGAAATCAACCTAGATGCCCTCCATTCCTAGACTGGATAAAGAAAATGTGGTATATGAACACCATGGAATACTACACAGCCATAAAAAAGAATGAAATCATGTTCTTTCTGACCTTATGGATACACCTAGAGACCACTACCCTAAGAGACTTAATGCAAGAACAGAAAACCAAATACTGTGTGTTTTCACTTATACGTGGGATCTAGACATTGAGTACACATGGAAACATAGATGGGAAAAATAGACACTGGGACTATTTAATGGGGGAGGTTGGGGACATGGGTTCAAAAATTATTTATTGGGTAATGTGCTAATTACCTGGGTGACAGAATATACCAAACCTCAGCGACATGTGATTTACCCATACAGCAAACCTGCACATGTAACCCCTGAACCTAAAATAACAGTTGAAAAAATAATAGAAAAAAGCTTATAGAGTATTGACATAAAGAAAGAAAATATCTTTGTATTGCTATATAATGTAAGGAATGTTTGTGTTTTAAGCTAAGTGTTATAATAGAGTCAGAAAGTTTAAAAAATTAAAAAATTTATAAATTTAAAAAGTCACAGTAAGTTGATTATTTTATTATTAAAAAGTAAAATTATTTTTTATAAATTTATTGAAGCCTGATTGTATAGTGTTTATAAAGTCTATAGTAGTGTAGAATGATGTCATAGACCTTCACATTCACTCTGCATTCACGCACTGACTCACTCATAACAAATTCCAGTCCTGAATGTCTATTCATGATAAGTGCTCTTTAGTGGTGCATGGTTTTATTTTTTATGTTGTATGTTTACTGTAGCTTTTCTATGTTTATATAAGTTTTTGATACAAAAACACTTACCATTATGTTACAATTGCCTATGGTATTCAGTATAATAGCATGGTGTACAGGTTCGTAGGCTTGGAGCAGTAGGCCATACTATGTAGCCTAGGTGTGTAGTGGGCTATATCATCTAGGTTTGTGAAAATACATTCTATAATGCTCACACAATGATGAAACTGCCTAAGAATACATTTGTCAGAATGTATCCTAGTCATTAAGGGAGTATAAAATATACTTTTTTTCTTACTATTTCCCCACCTGTTTTTCTACTTCTCTGTTCTACTCTCTTTGCTGCTTCTAGCATGTCCAGTGTAGATGGAAGAAGGAGAGGTGAAGTGTAGAAAAGTTTCACTTGACTGGTGAAGTTGCAACTGTATTGACGCTGTCGCACGACATTGCATATCCATACATTTTCACTGGTCAGATGTTTTCCTGGGTTCTTCAGAGACTTGCAATTCCCTGAGCTGTCCAGACTCTTCTGGCTCGTTACTTACCTCACTCCTCCAATCTTCCAGCAATCATTCCTCACTGACTCCTTTCCCCTCTCAACTCCAAGTCTTACATAAGTTTTGTTTTGTGTTTATTTTTATCAGTAAAGCCTACATTTCTTCCTTGGAGTCTGTCTTTTGAGAAGGAACTATTTAACTGTACCTATCGAATACTGGAAGTGTAAGTCCATCCAGTAAAGCTTCCTTTCTTCGTTCTGCCTCCGCGGGCCCTCCCACCAGGCTCCAGACTTTAGAATTTTTCAAACCTAAGTCTGATAACAATCACATTTTCTTCATACTCTGGGGTTTAAATGCTTTAAGTGGTTCTAAAGTCCTTCTCACTTGGCTTGAGATAGTGAATGAAGAAACACTAGTGTGTTTCACAGATCGTATGTTAGTAAGGTGTACTTGGGGAGAAAGGAGAGATTGTCAGCAGTAGTTGTGCTTATAAGTTTGTTTGCAGAGGGTGACCAAGAGCAGACAGTAAAGCAGGAGACAGCTAGGAGATGTTGGTGTTGCAATCTGGTTTAAATCTCTCCCTCTGTTCTCCAGGTAATCCCACAGCTATCTGCTAGAATTGCATGGCCTGCTATTTGCTGAAGGGAAGGAGTAAAGACAATTCTCAGGACCTGCTAGTTTGCTGGCTGCTGCGTTCACTTCCAGTGTCAACTAGCCTTAGGGTATCACATCTTCTTGTAGGTCATGCAGCATGAGTACTGCTGTGTTTCATGCCCAAAGATGGCTTTGGGGGAGTTAACAAGCCACACCCAGCAAAGAGTGGAGTTAAGAAAATAATACAGCTAGAAAGTTCTGTGGCAACTGCCCCTCGTTTATCTTCTGCCATTTGCTTCCAATACCAAGATCTAAATCACCATCTGTTGCTCCAAAGTTTCCTCAGTGTTTCACTTCTGGAACTTCTTTAGGGTTGAGACTAGTGCACATACACCATCTTGTCCTGACTACATTTCAACATATTTTGACACAAATAATTTAATTTAAAAACCTCTATTTTCAAATAAAAAAGAAAAGGTAATTTAGTCAAACAAATATGGCCATTTTACCTTTTGTATGGTTTCCAAATTATTTATTCAGATTTTACTATATTAGGCAGTGAATTAATTTAAAAATTATAAAGAAAAAGAATGCTGCAAGCATTATTGCAGTTTTTTTCTATGAATTGCAAATAGGTAGAAAAAAATGATGTAAACAAAATTACCTCACAGGTGGCTGACTAAAGATATGGGTTTATTAGACTCCTCAAAAAGCAATAGGCAAATAGTTTTCATAGAGAGTTATTCTTTTAATTTTGATTATTAAAAGTATTGTTTTCTCTTGGGACAGTGAGTTTGTACAGATTCACTGATTCTCAGAAGAGAAACTGTGATGCCATCTATTTATATAATACCTTGATGTATTTAAATAAATTTTTTGAGTTTATTGTTTATTATAATACTGTTATGTAGGTAAGACCATTCTTTTTAATCCTTTTTTTTATACTGAGGAAATCAAATTGCACAATATTTAAGTCACTTGCCTGAAGTCTCAGTGAAAGTGGCCACATCGAATTGAAATCATCTTTTTCCACTTCCCATTGCTCTTCTACCACATGTTCTCTCTCACAGGTTTTGTGAGCATGAGTGATATTTTTTCCTTTCCCTTTCCCTCCTCTAACATATAAAATGTAATTTTAATACTAAATGATTTCCTTGTGAAGCCCTTTCCAATTCTTGGGTCATATTTACAAAAAATATTTTAACAAGTTTACTGATCCTCTTCTTTTTAAGTGAAAGATTGCAAATAATGTATTAGTGCAAATATTTGCAATAAATTATAATTATCCTAATGGGTACACCTATTATTTGGTTTTTGAAAGGAATTGCTCCATCGCAGAAATTTTTGTACCCCTTGTCTTTGGTTTCCTGTTGTGAATTCAGAATTTTATATCAACTGTGCATGCTTCAGATAGCTCAGTTGTCATTAAAATGGAAGATTGCTATTTTGAGTTTTATAGAGGTCATTGCCATGTGGGAAAAGCAATGCATATTTTGCTGAATTTCTGGTACTTAACAGAAAAACTTTTTTAAACTGTCAGAGTTGATTGCTCAGTTTTGTTGGAACAATAAATGTGTGTTGGTCAGATAACTTGTGAAATAACAGAATAATGAGCAATCATCAAAAAAGCAAATTTTTCAGTATGGTAATTAATTCTAGAGTAACAGTGTGCCTGTTTTTTTTTTTTTTTACTGTCAAATTTTCTGAACCACTTTTCTGATTTTAACTCTGAAGGAAACAACCAATCAAGTCTGATATCTGTGTACAGACAAAAGTAGGTGTTTTCCAGTATGTGGATTTGCTGTGAGAAGACACTAGCAGGCTGTCAGGAGCAGACTTGTGTCTGTTTACCCAAGCAAGGGCTGGGGAGTAAGTACCCCTGATTGCAGGAGCATGAAATGGCCAGGTAGGAGGAAAAGAGTCAAAAGAAAAGACTGAAACAATAGGGAGATCAGCCTGATTTTATATTTTCACTTTAGTTTATGGGAGAAGAATGTTGAGGCAAAAATATTTAAGTGAGTAACAATAGTAACTTAAAAGAGACTATTTAATAGATCTCTTTTTTAGTTAATATTTTCTTTTATTCAAAAACTTGTTGAACAACTATGTGAAACACTAGGCTTAAGGAGTAGAGGAGAACATAAAAATTACACAGATCAAGAATTATTAAAAGCAATGGGCAAATAGTTTTCATATAGAGTTACTCTTTCAACTTTGATTATTAAAAGTATTGCTGCCTCTTGGGACAATGAGTTTGTATAGATTCACTGATTGAAGAACAACGATGCCATCTATTTATATATCTTGATGTATTTAAATAAATCATTTGAGTTTATTGCTTATAACAATAATGTTATGTACGTAGGGCCAAATGATAATCGTTTGCCATTAAATATAATCCAAGGTAGAATGTAATAAATACATGAGATTTTATACCCTTGTGGGGATTTCAGATTAAAGAGAGATTTCAACAGAAAAGCTATGAGAGTAAAATAAGTCACTTGAGTCAAGTTTTTGTAAATAAGTAGAATTCTATTATGCAGAGCTCCTAAGGAAGATAAGAAAAGGCAAGAGAAAAATGTGAGAAGAACCATGGAGTTCAGAAATTTGGGATAGGCTGGGAATACTGAAGTTAATCTATATGCCTTATATTAATATTCAAAGAAAATATGAGATTTAGAAATATCAATTTAATATTTATATAAATATAAATTTAGAAATATAAATTTCTCCCATATAATGAAGGGTTTAGAATACTAAGATTAGGATTATTTTAACTAAAAAACTAAACTACCTTGAAATATAAAATTTTATTCATTGTAAAAGAACAAAAGTCACAAAATGGGAAAATATATTTACAACACGTTTAACTAAATATTAGAAATAATAATGCTAAAATAGGAAACATTAAATAGCAGTTACTCTGTACCTTGAACACAGTTCTGAATTTTTAATATATTTTATTGAACTCAAAAATGCATTAAAATGTTTTATCAGTGTGTAAGCTCTTCCCTGTAATCTAGCCATTAATCATCTGTTTTAAATGCTGAGTTTAGTGGAGGGAAAATAGTGCTCAACAATTAGGAAACTATTAGAGTATTCTAGGCATAAAAAGAGACCCTGATAAATAGTGAATGTGGCTAGGATGAAAAATGGAATGAAAAAGAGAATAGATAGTAAAATACATACATGAATACTAACTGAATATAGAAATGGGAGTTGGAATTAACTATGTTGTTTCTTCCAATATACAAATATTTAGAAGATTTGGGCACATTGAAAGGAGCAAGAAGTTTGGAGAGAAGACAGGACATTTAGTTTGAAAAATGTAAACATTGAGGCATGAGAAAGATGTATGACACTATTTGTCGTAAGTTCTGGATTTTAGGTGTGAGAGTAGAAGAACAACACTAAAGATTTGAATTAAATTGCAAGTAGAGGAGACATTAAGCCTAGTCTATAGGGATGCCCCAAGGTCTACATTGGTTGTATCATAAAATGTGGTGTTCTGTCAATAGGAGACTAGGATGCTATACCATCGATTAAAGGGAAGGTATTAACTATCTGCAAGATTAGAAACATTTTGTAAAAGCATTGGTGCTAAGAGAGGAATGTCCCCACTTCCAATGCAATAATTCACATTTTTACAATATAAGCAAATCTGAGATTTAATCATACAAATTACGTTTTAATAATGTGCAAGTGGAAATATGGAAATATGTGTGGGAATTTGAAGAAGACTTAAGAACAAATATTTGACATTGTTTAGTCAGCATTCTCAAAGGAAGAAGCTCTGATTAAATTGTGTACTTCCCATTCACGATCTGCTAAAGATCTCTAAATCTTAGATACACACTCTGGAATATGTATACTTCACTTCCTTCTGGACATCTATAGTATATGCATAATTGAACATATCTTCCATTTAATTATATTCCGACAGTGGTATTCCTTATCTTTATGGCATTATCATTTACTTAAGACAGAAAGTGTCAAGATATCTTTAAATTCTCACATCCATGAAACCTCCACATAGAACTTTTTACAAATTATCTAGATTCTACCCTTAGTATTTTTCTCAAACTTTTCTCTTTCTTGAATTTTTCTTGAATTTCATGGTATTTGCCACTGTTTTTGCTTAGATCTTGATCTTTTATTGTCAGGACTTGTGTAGTAGTATTTTACCTGGCCTCCTTGCTCACATTTGCTCCTTATAAAAATACAACATTCAAAACTGCCCCAAAGGATTCATTATAAAATGAAAATGTGATTATTTCATGTACTTTCTTAGGAAATTTAATTGGGACTTGACACTTTATAGAATGCAGAAAAATAACTTTATAACCTAATCTTAATATGTATTTCTGTCATCTTAATTCTGATCACACTTTTTTGAAATGTTCCATTAAAGACAGCCTCATTCTAATAGCACATAAAACATAGCTATATCATAACACTTATCATAGTGTTTGTAATTATTTGCTTGACTGCCCTCTCACTAAATGAAGAACTAGTGTTTTATTTATCTTTCCACTAGCTATAGTCTGAGAAGTAGTAGAAATTGTTAGGCACTTAATAATTGGGTGTTGAATTAATTATTGAATTATTCATTTACTCTTAGAGCCTGCTGACTACTCTTGAAATAAATAAAAGCAATTTCAAGGTTTTACCAAATCAGCCACATTATAAATAAGCATTATCATATTATGATAGCTGTGTCATATTATTTAGCTGGTTTAATTAAATCATTCTATTAGAAGTTTCTTATTTATTGAAGTAAGTACACTGGAAATTTCAACAGTGTAATTCAAGGACATTCATGTTGAAAAGTGGTTCTTCCAAGGAAGAAAGGAAGCCTCAAAATGATGTCTAATGCCTTCAGAGCATTTTATATTTTATTGAGATGCTTATCATCATATAAAAACAAATATAGAGATGACATAACTAAGGTTCACTGGCAATGAAGGGATATTTTAAGAAGATGAATTTTATCAAACACATTTTATAAATTTTATTTGAAGTCATGTTTTTGTGTTCGTGATATAAGAACATTCACAAATTCTTTGAAGGAGCTGATTATGTATCTCTCCTCATGATACAAGTGCACAGTAGCATGGTGATATTTGGAGGTTCATTACTCACTTTTTCAGATTTTCTACTGGAACCACGAAAAACTAATTCTTACTTCTACATTTTGACATTCTTTCTCATTCTAGTATTCTAACTTTCTTTTCTGATCATTTATTAAATAGAGGAATATCAAAATATTTAGTATTTATTATGTTTTTATTTTCTCTTTGGACAGTTTATTTTAGTCGCTTCACCTTTCCTCACAATCACATACGGAAAAATCTGTAATTTATGTCTTTATGTTTGATTGTCCACCTGAATGCTCTGCTTTTAATTTTAGTTGACATATTGGCCTCTATCCCTTGGAAACCTGAGATTCAACTTGTCTTACATTTGTCTTTGTCTCTGCCTCTACTGTCTATTCTTATGGTGGTATTTAAGTTAATATATTACCATACATTTTGTAGCAAAGGCTTTATAATTGAAAATGATTTATGTGCCACTTTCTCCCTTAACTACCATATTAAAATGGTAAAAAAAAATTATAACAATTCTGTCTTCTATAAACTCTAGTATTGTAAGTCCTCTTTTTTATAGTTTTTATTATTATTATTATACTTTAAGTTTTAGGGTACAAGTGCGTAACGTGCAGGTTTGTTACATATGTATACATGTGCCATGTTGGTGTGCTGCACCCATTAACTCGTCATTTAGCATTAGGTATATCTCCTAATGCTATCCCTCCCCCCTCCCCCCACCCCACAACAGTCCCTGATGTGTGATGTTCTCCTTCCTGTGTCCATGTGTTCTCATTTTTCAATTCTCACCTATGAGTGAGAACATGCGGTGTTTGGTTTTTTGTCCTTGCGATAGTTTGCTGAGAATGATGGTTTCCAGGTTCATCCATGTCCCTAGAAAGGACATGAACTCATCATTTTTTATGGCTGCATTGTATTCCATGGTGTATATGTGCCACATTTTCTTAAGCTCTATATAGTAGCACACAAGATATAACTGTTTGTGTTTGAAATTACTGTTACAACATCATAATTTACTTCAGTTATTGTAATAGCAATTACATAGAATTTATAAAACTTAAAAAATAGACCTTTGGGGTTAATAGGAAACTCCTAAAAAAATGTAAATGAATAATGAAACTAAACATTTGAGAAAGATGCTATTTTAATTAAGCAGAGAAAGGAATTTTTTTGACATATGATATTGTCAAAATTAGCTAGATTATCTCACAGCTCACAAGATGCAAAATTAAATTTCACATACATTAAAAATTTGAGTGTTAAAAGATTAGAAAAAATAAGTGAATATCTGTATAATGTTTTACATTTTTTAAAACAAGCTAACCCAGAAAACATAAAAAAAGAAATACTAAATATTTAGCTATTAAAAAAATTAAGCAAAAGATATAAATAAAGTTAAAAAATGAAATTTTGTTTAAATGTTTACAAAATAAAAAAATAGAAAGAATATTAGTACCCCTTGGTAAAGAAAGAAACAAAAAAAAATAAAATGGGAAAAAATTACACTTAGCAATTTATTTGAAACAAATCTAAATGAAGTGTATTTTACATGTATTATTCAGTGTTATTTTTCAAGTTGCTCATTCTCTCTTCAGCTGATCTTAGTACTGATATGTACAGTGTTATTAATTCCTGGCCCTATGTTTTACATTGTCCCACAATTCTGCTATAATCTTTACCTAGTTGCCCTGATTTCATTTCTGTCTATTGATTTACAGTTGTTTTTTAAAATTAGTAATTTATAATTTTGAGTAATATATGATTATTTTTATTATATTTTGACAAATTTTAGTTGTATATATATATGAGGTACAAAGTGGGGATTGGGGAGATGATAGTCAAAGGGTACAAAGCATCAGTTTGATAACAATTATTTCAAATTAGTAAACATTATAATTTTTCTATATCCATTTTATAAAATTAATTTTATTTGAGTTAATTCATGTACTGTTTATTTTTGTGCTGTGCTTTCCATGGAATTAGATGTTATACTTTGATTTAGAATTTGGATTTAGAGGAGCTCCAGTGGCGCAGTTGATTAGTGTGCAGTACTTATACAGAATTTGGATTTAGACACTAATTTTTTGTGTTTGTTTTTGGTTTTTTCCCCTCCATGGGCTTAGCTTTCTGTATCTGATGATTTTTTGGATTGTTTTCACCCACCAAAGCCTAGAATATGCTCTTCTAATAACAGTGAGGTTTCCCTAATTTGTGATTACATTGTGGATTTAATAAAGCCTGCTACTAATGCAATGTGATGATTGGTTCAGTTCCAGCTCAAAAAGCTGTGTCTTTGTAAGTTACCTCCTCAGGTCCACTGGTTGGTACATGTAATGTCTCAGGTTAACTCTTGGCAATGGTTGTGTTTAAGCTTTCTTTCATGAGCAGTCTCTATATCTTATTATTGATCCTAGTTCTAAACCTTATTGTAAGTAAAACACTTTAGTCTGTGTTAGCCAATATCTGCTGCATTTCTGTCGACACCCTCATGTACCCTTGCACACTACTTTGCATTTCTCTTCTGTTCCTGGTTCTCAGAAATATTTATCCTTATTTTGAAGGTCTGCTATGTATTTGTGGGTTTTTCTTGCTCTATTTTGTCAAGTATTACTATACATTTAAGGCATGAAGTGTATATGAAATAATATTGCTGCACAAACCTCTCTAGACTTCTATTCAGAGAATCTAAAACATTCCAGGAAAAAAAAATGAAGAAAAAAATTGAGTTCAATAAATAACATATATTTTCTTTTGAAAAACATGAAAAGGCAAGTTTATCCTATGGTAGAGTTGCTAGTTCAAGCAATACTCTCGTGATTTTTCCAACATAAATTGTGATACTATTGTGAAATCATCCACCAGAGCTAAAAATCCTTTTGTTTTAGTGTTTATAGCACAGGTGAACAGAGAAAGCATTGTAGTATGACTGGTTTGGTTGTCTGCTCTCTGCATGAATGTTTTCATTAGGTGTTTTGGTTTATTAAGTTGTGAAAATATGCTGGTGAGAATCCTCTCCTGCTTTGATTGTGATGTTAGCAGCTCTGACCCCAGCATACTTGCTCCCAAATACAGATTATATTTTGTGAATGTTTCCATTTGTACCAGGACTTTGAAAGACAATTTTCTTAATCCTGACTGTCCTCACTGAGACAAAATGTAATTGTCATTGTCAAGGATATCAGATTCTGAAATACATACATTTTCTAATATCCTCACTCAATTCAACTCAAAACATAATATTTAAACTCTAACTTTTATTACAGCTTTATTGAGCTATAACTGATATGCAAAAACATACATATTTTAATGTATACAATTTGATGAATCTGGACATATTCATACACGTGTGATACGATTGCCACAATCAAGGAAATACACATAGTCATCACCTCCAAATGTTTTCTGGTGTCTCTTTGCTTTTTTTTGGAATAAGAGCACTTAACATAAGATCTACCCTCTTAACAGATGTTAAGTGCATAACACTATATTGTTAACTGTATTATCTTGCACAGCAAATATCTAGAATTTATTCAACTTCTAGAAGTGTAATTTATACTCATTGAACAACTTCCCATTTCCCCCTTCCCCATATCCTGTCAATTACCGTTCTATTTTCTTTTTCTATAAATTTAAGTATTTTAGATACCTCATATAAGTGTAGTCATATAGTATTTGTCCTTTGGTGACTGACATTTCACTTAACATAATGTCTTCCAGATCCACCACGTTGTCTCAAATGATAGAATTTTCTTGTTTTCCATGTTGAATAATATTATATTGTATGTGTGTGCCACATGTCTTGTACCCATTGATCTGTAAATGTGTGGATTGATTTTTGGCCCTCCATCCTTTTCCACAGGTTCCTATGTCTGTCTTTATGCTAGTATCATATTGTTTTAATTGCTGTAACTTTGTATTGCATTCTGAAATCAGGAAGTGTGATGCCTATAGCTTGTTTTTCTTTCTCAAGTTCACTTTAACTGTTCTAGGTCTTTCATTGTTCCATATGAATTTTAGGATTGATTTTTTTTTCTATTTCTGTAAGAAATGCCATTGGGATTTTGATGGAAGTAGCATTGAATATGTAGATCACTGTTTGAGTAGTATAGATATTTAAACAATATTAAGTCTTTCAATTTATAAACACTGAATATCTTTCATTTATTTGTGTCTTTAATTTCTTTCATCAATGTGTTGTAATTTTCAGTGAATAAGTCTTTCATGGCCTTGGTTAAGTTTATCCAGTAAAATTTCAGGAAATAAAATTAACATACAAAAAATAGTTGTGTATACTAAAAATAAACTCTAGCTTTTAAACTTTACCGTGTTAGCAATACAGGTTTTTTTTTTTTTTTTTTTTAACGGAGTCTTGCTCTGTCGCCCAAGCTGGAGTGCAGTGGCGCAATCTCGGCTCACTGCAAGCTCCGCCTTCCCGGGTTCACGCCATTCTCCTGCCTCAGCCTCCCGAGTAGATGGGACTACAGGCGCCTGCCACCACACCCGGCTAATTTTTTGTATTTTTTTTAGTAGAGACGGGGTTTCACCGTGTTAGCCAGGATGGTCTCGATCTCCTGACCCCTTGATCCACCCGCCTCGGCCACCCAAAGTGCTGAGATTACAGGCTTGAGCCACTGTGCCCGGCCAGCAAAGCAGGTTTTATCTATTCCACTTTATTTTTCACAATATGGATTTTAATTTAGGCAACCATTGTTTGTGTTTAAAACCAATTTGTAACATGTAAATTATTTTTCTGACACATAAAGTTGAAAACTCATGGCTACCATTTTTCAGAGGTTTGCACATGAGATTAGTTTGGTACTGCAGGAGATGGCACTAATTAGGAAAATATGATAGAACACAAGGTAATAAATTATGTGTCCTTGAGAAAACAGCTTCTTATTTGTAAATTTAGGGGGTTAACCAAGGCTTTTAGAGTTGTTGGAGATTGACAGACCTTTTGGATAATCTGATGATAACTCACATATTTAGGAAAAGGCACATTTTTTTCTCCCCAAGATGTATTTACATTGTTTAAAGAGTTGAAGACTATCCATAGATCCTGTTGTAAATCCAGAAATCCTAGATCAACAAATTTGTTATGATTTTTTTCTCATGTCACTTTCTTCTCCAATATTTGTTTATTTTTAGTTATTGAAGTATAATTTACATAGAATAAATTTTTGCAAAGTTTTTAAAAATACAGTTTGAGTCAGCAGTTATGACAAATGTATGAACTGGAATAGCCACCAGGCCAAACAAGATTGAAAACATTTCTCTCACTCCAAAATGTTTCAGTGTGCCACTTTTCAGTGTACCTCGTCCTTCCCAAAGACAGTCAGTTTTCTTATTTTGCCACCATAAACTACTTTTGAAATCATGTAGTGTATACTATTCTGTGCCAGGATTATTTCACTAAAATAATGTGATTTAAATCCATCCTAGTGGCACTCTCACTTGTTTTTCTCCTTTTTTTTTTAATTTCTGAGACGTATTCAATGATATGTTTGGTAAGAAGCATCTGGGATAACGATCATAGGATTATGTGAAAGAAGAGTGAGGCCAGATGGGTAAGTGGTCATTCTGAAGTTAATGTATCTTTTTGGAGCAGAAAATAGTTTTATCCCAACAATATGCAAAGTTATGCTTTACCCAGCACATTAAAATTCTATTACTATTTTTAAATTTCAAAAATGTTTATTTATCCTTTAATCTTTCCTTATGAGCCAAATAAACTGATCTTAAATATGATTATCTATATAATCACATACAATCATTATATATATATATATGTATATGTATATATATGCTGTACCCCTGGTTTGGTATTTACTCTCATGACTTGAGTCCATTATTAGCACACCTGTTAACATGCATTTGTAATCTCATTAATTATTATATATTTCTAACAAATGTTTACCTCTGTAGTCTGTATTTAAATAACTAATTGTGTGCTCTGGACCACTGTTAACAGGCTCACATCTAGTTAACGCTAGTTTGTATTGTCCCTCTTCCAACTGTTTGTATTTTTTTGTGTTTCTATTTGTTTCTGTAGCTTTATTGCATTTTTATCCTGTTATGTAATTTTTAATTCTTATTTTGTTTTAAAAAATGACCTTGCTTTTGATTGAAAGGAGTTCCAAATGGTTTGACCATATTTAGCTTACATTTATAATTTTAATATATTGAGAAATATTCAATCGTATCAGCAAGAAACTTCAATGCTTTATCTTCCATGTGTAATAGGATGGCTTAACTTCATTTTCTTCAAGTGGTTCAATCACAAACAATTCACAAAATAAATGTTATCTGGCCTCTAAGAGTTCCATTTTAGAACAATTGTGTTTCTAATCAAGATTGACACACTAATTAAATTGCAGCTCTGTCTTTATTCTTCAACATAAAACATATTAAGTGTGTTTGAAGGGCTTCACTGTACTTATTTACAGTCTCACTTTGAAACAAATTTCATGTTTCACAGAAAGAGCTTAGGGAGAGAGAAAGGAGACAAATAGATCTTTCATCAGTTTAAAGTTGGACAAATAAAACAGCATAAAGCTTTTCCTTCAGCCCAACAAACTTTTAAGTAGAATTCCCACTGCATTCTAATAGCAAAATTGACTCAGTATTATAGATTATCTATTAGAGAATGGATATGAAAGTGGATGCAATTTTTGATAAGATTTGCAAGGAACACACATTGGGGAAATGATAGTCTCCTCAATAAATAGTTTTGGGAAATTTGAATATTGACATATAAAAGAATGAAACTAGGCTCGTATTTTTCTTCATAAAGAAATCAACTCAAAATGGATGAAAGATTTAAATGTAAGACCCAAACCTATCAAACTACTAGAAGAAAGCATACGAGAAATGCTTCATGACATTGAACTGGGCAATGATTTTTTTTTTGGATAAGACCTTAAACACACAGGCACCAAAAGCAAAAATAGACAAATGGGTTTAGGTCAAACTAAGAAACTTCTGCACAGCAAAGAAAATAGTTAACAAAGGTAGGAGACAACCCACAGAATGGAATGAAATATTTGCAAACATATATTCTGGATATTAACCTCTTGTCAATTTGCACGTATCTGACAAAGGGTTAATATCCAGAATATGTTTAAAAAAAACCCTATTCAATAACACAAAACAAATTATCCAATTAAAAACATGGATAAAAGACCTTAATAGACATTTCTCAAAAGAAGATATATAAATGGCCAAAAAGTATATGAAAAATTCTCCGCATTACTAATCATCAGAGAAATGCAAATCAATATCATAATATCTCCTCAACCCAGTTACAATGACTATTATCAAAAAGACAAAATATAATATTTGTTGATGAGAAGATAGAGAAAAGCAAACCCTTACACACTGTTGCTGGAAATTTAAATTAGTAAAGCCATTATAGAAAATAGTACAGAAGTTACCAAAAAAATTAAAAATGGAACTGCCATATGATTGAGCAATCTCACCGCTAGTTATATATTCAAAGAAAAGGAGATTAGTATGTAGAATAGATATCTGCACTTCCATGTTTATTGCAGCACTATTTACAAGAGCCAAAATAGGGAACCCACTTAAATGTCCAAAACTGGATGAATAGAAAAATAATGAAATATTGTCATTTGTGACAACATAGAGGAAACTGGAGGACATTATGTTAAGTGAAATAAGCCAGAAACAGAAAGACAAATACCACATGATCTCACTTATGTGTGGAATTTAAAAATATTGGTCTCTTAGAGGTAGTGGATAGAACAGTGATCACCAGAGACTAGGAAAGGGAGAGAGAGTATGGAGATAGGTTGGACAACAGGTACCAAGTCACAATTAGAAAGGAAGAATAAGTTCTGGTATTTTATTGCATAGTTGGGTGACTATAATTAACAAGATACAGCTGTGAGCATCATAACAATGGTTTGATCGATGTCAGACTGTATATATAACTGTGATCCCACAAGATTATAATAGATCTAAAAATTCACATTGCCTGGTGACATTGTAGCTGTTGTAGCTTCATAGTGTAACACATTATTCATGAGTTTATGTTATGCTGGTGTAAATAAACCTGCTACGCTGCCAATCATGTAAAAGCATAGCATGTACAGTTATGTACAGTATATAATACTTGATAATTGTAATAAACAACTATGTTTCTGGCTTTTATAGTTACTGCACTATACTTTTAATTGTTATTTTAGTGTGTATGCCTTCTACTTATTAAATAAAAAAAGGATAACTGTATACTAGCCTCAGGCATGTCCTTCAGAAGGTATTGGAGAAGACATCGTTATCATAAGAGATGAGAGCTCCATGCATGTTATTGTCCCTGAAAAACCTTCCAGTGGTACAAGATGTGGAGGTAGAAGACAGTAACATTGATGATCCTGACTCTTTGGAGGCCTAAGCTAAAGTGTGCATTTAACAAAAAAGTATAAAAAGTAAAAAAACCAAAACCCTAAACATTTTAAAAATAAAAAAGTTTATACAATAAGAACATACAGAAATAAAATACCCTTATACAGCTGTACAGTGTGCTTGTATTTTAAGCTAAGTGTTATGACAAAAGTCAAGAAGTTAAAAAAGTTTATAAACTAAAAAAGTTACAGTATGCTACAGTTAATTTTTATGGAAGATAAAATGTAAATTTAGAGTAGACTAAGTGTACAGTGCTTATAATGTCTACAGTGGTGTACAATAATGTTTTACACCTTCACATTCACAGTGTTCACTCACCGACTCACCCAGAGCAACTTCCTGTCATGCAAGCTTTATACATGGTAAATGCTCTATAAAGTTGTACCATCTTTCATCTTTTATACCATATTTTTACCGTAGCTTTTCTATGTTTACATATGCTTTTGATATACAAACATCATTGTGTTATAATTGTCTGTAGTATTCAGTATAGTAACTTGCTGTACAGGTTTCTAGGCTAGGAGCAATAGGCCATTTCCAATAGCCTAGGTGTGTAGTGGGCTATAACATCTAGGTTTGTAAAAGTACATGCAATGCATTTTTCAGAGCTGTCTCCCTAGTTAACTGATGCATGTCCATATTGCATATCTTAAAATAGCTAGAAGGGAGGAATTTTTATGTTCTTACCACTAAAAAATGATAAATGCTTGAGATGATGAATATGCCAATTATCCTGGTGTGATCATTACACAATGTATATATGCATCAAAACATTACGTTATATGCCCACAAGTACACACATTAATATGCAAATTAAAAATAAAAAATAATTTAAAAAGTAGATACACAATCTCAAGCATCGAGTTTTGTTTAGCTATCAACTCAGATAATTATATATTTTAGGGTGAGTCTATTGGTGTTCAACATAAAGTACTGAATACTATGTGGTTTATGTATTACTAATTGGGTAAATAGGGAAGTTGTTTTGAGAGAAATTGGTGGCCAGATGTAGAGTAGTGTTGGGTGCGTTCATCTGTGATTTCTAAGTATATACAAGCATAAGGCCAACCGTGAACACAAATATTTTCTTTATATTAATATATTTTAGCATTTTCTCTTCTACATATTTTTCAAAATCAGTTTATGTGTTTTAAGTGAAAAAAAAACGTGACTTTGTACCCTTTTCTGTCTTTTTAGTGACTGCAAGCCTTTCTTCTGCCTCTAGATATATTTTTATCTATTAGTATCATTCTTCTATTTGAATAGGTTTTATCATACCTGGTGTTCATTTTGGAAAATACTTTGAAACAATTCTTTTTCACCAGGATAAATACGAATAAATATGTGCTGACAAAGCTTGGTTTTTCATTATAACTAACATAATTTACAGTTTCAGGATATTATTGCATATCAGCCTTTCAAAATGTTCCAGGAAGTCTCATGTGTTATAAAATTATTATTCAGTAATTGCACCTTCAAGTGGCTGGAGTAGCAAAATACATTCCCTAAGATATTAGGTATAGGATTTGAAACCGATAACAGCGATTTTTTGACATGTGCTTAAAATACAGGAGGCTTATTTTGATCATAAAAATGTTAAGATATGTAAGTATATTTAATCCTATTGCTTTCCTATTTTACTTGTCAGCTTCAGAAATGTTCCCTTAAAAAATTAGCTTAATAGTATTATCTTTATAAATAAAATTCTTTATACTTTCATATTTACAATTTAAACTGTTCTATTTTGTTCTCAATGACAAGGTTATTACGAATGCCATTAATAAGTATGCTATTTCATTATAATTTCATCAATAATTACTATTTTTAACATTTTCCAGGCCTGTCTTCAAGTTATCTTCAACCTGAATAAATTTATTAAAATTTATATTTAAAAAAGTAAATATTTATACTTATTTAAAGATAAAAGTAGTAAAAATTACCAGGAATGTAATTAATTATTTGTTTAATCTTTTTTATATTTCCTTAATCCATATTTAATACTCCTTTGGTATGCTGTGTTGAAAGTAGCTACTTTCTTTTCAGAGAGGTATACATTTTAAGTACCCTTCAGTCCATTTTAATTCATGAAAGAACTAGGCAACTTGAAAAAATAGGTAAGCCCTTGTTATTCATATTGCCATTCTATTCTACAATTCTGCTTTCCATTCTTTGGTCTTTGGAGTTGTCACTTTAAAATACAGGCTTAAGGAAGTGAATAACTGTATCTTTCAATTCTGTTTTTACTCATCAATATTATTCAGTTATATAGTGTATATGCCTAAACTTATTTTATTATGATTATTAGTTCTAACTAAAATGTGGAAAAGATATTTTTGTCTTAATAATTGCTTTGGAGAAGCAATATTTCACCCTTATCTACATGCTCTTCTTTTTTTCCTTTTCATTACCTAAAATGTGACTGTATTAGTTCATTTTCATGCTGCTGATAAAGATATACCTGAGACTGGGAAGAAAAAAAGGTTTAATTGGACTTAAACTTCCACATGGGTTGGTAGGCCTCAGAATCACGGCAGGAGGCAAAAGGCACTTCTTACATAGTGGCATCAAGAGAAAATGAAAAAGAAGCAAAAGCAGAAACCCCTGATAAACTCATCAGATCTTGTGGGACTTATTCACTATCACAAGAATAGCATGGGAAAGACAGGCCCCCATGATTCAATTACTTCCCACTGAGTCCCCCCGACAACATGTGGGAATTCTGGGAGATACATTTCAAGTTGGGATTTGGGTGGGGACACAGCCAAACCATATCATTCCACCTCTGGCCTCTCTCAAATCTCATGTCCTCACATTTCAAAACCAATAATGCCTTCCTAACAGTCCCACAGAGTCTTAAATTTTTCAGTATTAACTCAAAGTCTACAGTCAAAAGTCTTATCTGAGACAAGGCAAGTCTCTTCTACCTATAAGCCTGTAAAATCAAAAGCAAGATGGTTACTTTCTAGATACAATGGTGGTACAGGCATTGGGTAAATACAGGCATTACAAATGTGAGAAATTGGCCATAGCAATGGGGCAACAAGACCCATGAAAGTCTGAAATCCAGTGGGCAGTCAAATCTTAGAGTTGCAAAATGATCTCCTTTGACTCCATGTCTCACATCCAGGTCATGCTGATTCAAGACGTGGGTTCCCATGGTCTTGGGCAGCTCCGCCCCTGTGGCTTTGCAGGGTATAGCCTCCCTCTCAGCTGCTTTCATGGGCTGGTATTGAGTGTCTTGGCTTTTCCGGGCAAATGGTGCAAGTTGTCAGTGGATCTACCATTCTGGGTTCTGGAGGATGGTGGCCTTCTTCTCACAGCTCCACTAGGTGGTGCCCCAGCTCCACTAGGTAAGGACTCCGTATGGGGGCTCCTACCCCACATTTCCTTTCTGCACAGTCCTAGCAGAGGTTCTCCATGAGTGCCCACCCTTGCAGCAAACTTCTGCCTGGGCATCCAGGCATTTCCATACATATTCTGAAATCTAGACAGAGTTTCCCAAATGCCGATTTTTGACTTTGCAGGCACTTGCAGCCTCAACACCACATAGAAGCTGCCAAGGCTTGAGGCTTGCACCCTCTGAAGCCACGGCCCAAGCTCTACATTGTCCCCTTTCAGTGGCTGGAACACAGGGCACCAAGTCCCTAGGCTGCACAGAACATGGAAACCCTGGGCCCAGCCTACAAAACCATTTTCTCCCAGGCCACTGGGCCTGTGATGGGAGGGGCTGCCGTGAAGACCACTGACATGCCCTGGAGACATTTTCCCAGTTGTCTTGGGGATTAACATTCAGCTCCTCATTACTTATGCAAATCTCTGCAGGTGGCTTGAATTTCTCTTCAGAAAATGGGGTTTTCTATGACATTGTCAGGGTGCAAATTTTCCAAATTTTTATGCTCTGTTTCCCTTATACAACCGAATGCCTTTAACAACACCCACACCACTTCTTGAATGCTTTGCTGCTTAGAAATTTTGTCTGCCAGATGCAACTAAATCACCTCTCTCAAACTCAAAGTTCCACAAATCTCTAGGGCAGGGGCAAAATGCTGCCAATTTCTTTGCTAAAACCTAACAAGAGTCACCTTTGCCCCAGTTCCCAACAAGTTCTTCATCTCTATTTGAGACCACCTCAGCCTGGACTTTATTGTCCATAATACTTTCACGCTTTTGACCAAAGCCATTCAACAGATCTCTAGGAAGTTCCAAACTTTCCCGCATTCTCCTGAGCCCTCCAAACTGTTTCATCCTCTGCTTGTTACCCAGTTCCAAAGTCACTTCCACATTTTTGGGTATTTTTCCAGCAACACCCCACTCCTGGTACCAATTTACTGTATTAGTCCATTTTTCACATTGCTGATAAAAACATACCAGAGACTGGGAAGAGGTTCAATTGGATTTACAGTTCCACGTGGCTGGTGGGGCCTCAGAATCATGGCAGGAGGCAAAAGGTACTTACATGGCAGCGGCAAGAGAAAATAAAGAAGAAGCAAAAGTGGAAACCCCTGATAAATCCATTAGATCGTGTGAGACTTGTTCACTATCATTAGAATAGCATGGAAAAGACCAGCCCCCATGATTCAATTACTTCCCACTGGGTCCCTCCCACAACACATAGGAATTCTGGGAGATACAATTCAAGTTGAGATTTGGGTGGCTAGACAGCCAAACCATATCAGTAATGAAATAACCATCTCAATGGTAATATTCTATTAAATTTATATATATATTTGTTCTTATGCACACAGAGGAAAAAAAAGTCTTTAAAGGGGAAAAGTAACAAATTTATGTATTTCATAGTATAAGTACACCAAGTACCATTTCTGTTCTCTTTACCCTTGATTTTGTCTTAACCTAGTTCCCGTACCTATTGGACTAGGTAAACTCCCACATTTTAAGTCCAATTTCTCCACACAGGATATTTTGGAATGGTTACTTAGGTATGTTTTGAAATATAGACTCATCTTGAATTATTCACCTTTATAAATACCATATCTGTGCTGACCTTGACCTTTGAGAGCCAGTTATTTCTTCCTAAATCTTGAACTATTGCTTCATTTATACAAAATTGACCAGGGTGTCCCTGTTTGAAGTACTTGGCAAGAGCAATAATTTGTTTGGCCCAGTCTTTATGCCTCAACCTACTGTGCCCTTTATGTAATTTGTGATCTATCTTTGCCTGCTTATATCGGCAGGCATAGGATTGAACATCTGTGCAATTTAGACTGCTGAGTTCTCTCTAGTAATAGAGGACAGACAAGTGATGAAAATACTGTGGTGAACTAGCAATGACTGAAACAGCATGCTGGAGATTTTCCTTTTGGTGAGGGAAACTTCTAATTTATCAAGTACAGTTGATTTGACAACCTCAGATCGATACTCAACCCTCTCTCTGTGTTATTCCTGGGCACAACAATCTGACCAGGGCACTATACATTTCTGCTCTAAAGGGATTTCTATGGAAAAAAGGCTTGCCATCAAACCTCTCCTATCCTGGGTCTCTCCCAGGCAACTGCAGAGCTCCATGGAAAGGTAAACTCCTACCCAAAGTCTGAAGTCTTAGGCTTCCCCTAAGCAAAAATGTTCTCAACCTACCCCTCCCACACTAACTCCTCAAAGTCCCAGAGGCCTTCCTATTCTCTACTAATTGTAAAAATCACTTGAGTGGTTGGGTTGTGGCAGGAATTTGAGAGAAAAGAGAATCATTCAGGCTATTATTTTCTCAAAATATGTATTATTTCAGATTAGAAGTAAAATGTACAAATAATCACTGTTCGTGTGCCATTAAGTTCAACATCTTATACAGGTTTGGGAACTGCATTAAATCTCTTTTATCCCATAAATGTGAAGCAAGTTTATTGCACTCATTGCCATCTTGTTTCGGACCAGTGATACAGAATACAAGTCATATACACAACTTATTTGAAGCAGATGTCTTACTCACAGATAGGCAGCCAGGGACAATATAAACCTGGAAATCATTGATAGCTACTCCCCCAAAGCTCAGAAAAGCGGCCTGGAATTGATGGAGTCTTGTTTGTAAATTTCCTGCTTGCACCACAGCTAAGGGACCCCCAAAAGCAGCACAACCCAGCTTATATACCTCAGGGGCAACATGACACATTGGTTTAAACACTGAAGGACACTTTGTTCTACGGAGAGGACTGGAACAGATTCAGAGGATCTTCTGGTTAGTCCTTCTTTTATCTCAGGATGTTGCATTACCACCACTTTCTACAGGTATTTCTGTAAATCAGAAAGGGGGAAACTTTTGATTTAAGGTCACCCTGAGAATGTTCTTGCATAACAGTCTCCCTTTCTTTCGCTATCATAACAATGATTTGAGAAACGCAGTCATTTAGAGAATCTTACATTCTGTATTATTTCCAGGCAGTCCTGGAACCAATCCCTCATGAATACCTAGGGATACTGTGTTTTCTTAATTTTCATCTTTATGGAAATATCCACAAGCCCCATGTTAAATCAATCAATGAATAATCAATTTCAAAAACTCCCTAGGGGTGTGTGTGTGTGTGTATGTGTGTGTGTGTGTGAGAGAGAGAGAGAGAGAGAAAGCAATTATACATATCTATCCAAAGGGATAATAAATTATTGCTTACCTAATTATATTTAATATTATATAACTCTGAAAACTATTAAGAATCTTGTTTCTTCTTTTTCAATCAGGAACCAAACCAAAATTGAAAAGCTGCTAGAATCATGGATTTCAGGGAAAAAAAAATCCTTTTGTATTGACTGGCAGTCATTTTTGGAAAACTTTTGGAGACTTATAGTACCACTTAATTATCTTTATATATTTTATCTAAAGTGTCTAACCTCAATTTTTTTCATTATACGTTTCACAGAAATTAAAACAATATTAAGGATCAAATTCCTGGTCTTTCTGGGTTTCAAAGTAGAAAGGCTTTCCTGAGTTCACATTTTATCAGGATTAGGAATCCAATCTTGAAAGACCCACCTGACCTTTAAAATACATGAACCAACTCTTCTACTGAGTTTTTTATTCTATGATCTCTTGCCATATTGATGTTTCACAGAGGATTAATAAAAAACCTCTAACTTTTGGCTCGAACTCTGGCAAAAACATATTTTAAGATCCTAAAATTATACCTTGTATTATTTTTGTTATTTCATGTATTTTAATTTTTCTGCATACCAAGAGCACTAGAATATTCCCAAATAGACTATTTTTCATCATTAAGCGCAGTGTCAGATAACTAGTAGATATTCATGAATTGGTATTTGACTATTCTCTTATTCTGTATTATGAGGTTATAACAAAATATCTGTGACTGGGTGATTTATAACAAACACATTTATTGGCTTATAGTTCTGGAGGTTGGGCAGTTTCAGATCTAGGTACTGGCATCTGGTGAGGACCTTCTTACTGTGTCACCTCCTGGTGGAGGGTAAGAGAGAGACTAAAGGGGGACACCCCAGCAATAACAAACTCACTTTCCTGATAACAGCATTAATTCATTCACTCTGCCCTCGTAGCCTATTCACTACTGATTAAACCACACCTCCTAATACTGTTGCATTGGGAATTACATTTTCATCATATGCTTTTTTGGGGGGACATATTCAAACCCTGGCAACTATCAAGTTTGTATTTTATCAGGATTAGAAAACTATCTTGGAAGACTCATTTGGAAATTAAAATTAAAAAATAAACTCTACCTATCACTGATTTATCCATTTCCAAATCCCTCATGAGACAAGTGCTATCATTTTAAGGAATATGGATTAGCACTCAAAAAATGTTAGTTAAATGAAAGGATAAACTAATACATAAATGTAGTATAATATTCTTCCTCTTGAATTGCATGGATTCAATCTAGTAATATTGAAGTTAAGAAGGCATAGATGCATGTAATCTGAAGCAATCAGGAAAAATGTTTTTTGAAGTTACTTGGATTGGCTCAGAATGAAAATAAATATTTGAAAATAAAAGAATTCAGGCCATATTCTTATATTTATAACATGCATGATGGAGAAGTCAGATGCAGCAACAGAAAGAAGGAAATGTAATTGACATGTAGACTTTGATTCATGCCTGACTACACAGGAATATTCTGTTCTTAACTCTGCCATTATTCAAACTGGCTTTTCTTGAACTACATTTAAGTCTAGAAAAATTAGACTAATAGCAACTTGAAATAATTCTCTTTCTTCAATACATATTGGATAACTATAAAAATAATAGAGAATTTTGACATAGTTCTAATGGCAAAAAGTGAGCTAATTTTGGAAGCTTAATAAATAAGTTCTAACTAGAGAAAAGCCTGCTCTTATAAAAGAGAGAATGCTCTCTAAGAAGTGTCAAATCCTAATGTATCAGTTTTGCTGACATATTGAGAAATTAAAGTCACATTCAAAAAAGGTTCACTATAAAAAACATTACCAAAGTAAGTAGTTTGCCATGTTGATAACCTAAAAAATATATACAAATTTGAAAACAAATACCAAGTATATCTTATAATACAATTGATTTCAATATGTCTGAGTTGATTAAAAATATAATTTTATGAAAAACTCATAAAAAGAAAAAGAGGTACACTATTTAGAAATCCCTTGAGTGTTTAAGTTATTCCAATATTCATCCAATTATCTAATCATTATTTAAGAAATGAGGACGTTTTCATGTACTTTAAAAAATTACAGTGTTAATATTTCAATTTTTCCCATATCAAATATTTTTATCTTAAACTCCAGAGAGTCTTATATTTTTATTCTTCCCTTTGTCTCTATCTTTTTATAGTGGAATAAGAATAATAGGCCTCATCTCCTGTCCTAAAAATTGACTCATATAAATTCAGAATGCGTAAAACTGATTAGCAGATGAATTTCTGTAAAAGATAATAGGATATAACAAGAAAACATTTTTTTCTAACTTTGAAATTTCATCTTTTATGTTTTTTAAAGTTATAGAAACAATGTCTTGTTTTTCCCAAAAAACATTTTAGAAATATTCTCCTAATTTATCTTAAGGATATTTTTATGTCTGCTTTATCCCTTTGCCATTTGTAAATTATGTAAGAAGGTAGACCGTCATTATCACCAATAAAGGTAATGAGATCCTTCCTGTTTAAATAAGAAAATAAGGAATTGAAAGTAAAAATAACATAGTATAAGGAGATTGTTGTTTTGGTATATTTAGCAGTAGAGGAGAGCAGTTCTAATCAACTACCATAAAAAAAGGGCCCCAAATGTTTGATACTTCCAACTTTAATAGGATCTCCTTCTGAGCTAACTCACATGACCATTGATAGGCTTAAGAGTACCTTTTCATAGGGTACCTCACATCAGTGAGGGACATGGCAGTTGGCTTCCCTCAGAGCCAGCAACAAAGAGCCAAAGGAGCCCAGTATTAGCACATCTCAATAGGAAGCCACAATATTAGCAAATCTCGGGAGTGAAATTCTATCCCTTCTATAATATTCTGTATGTTAGAAGGGATCAATGAGTGCAGCCCATACTCAGAGAAGAAGATGACACAAGGGTGTGAATAGCAGGGCACAAGGATAATTGGGGGGTTATTGTAGAGACTGATTACTATACATCCCCAGCTCAAGGCCAATGATGGAGAAAAACTAAGAAATTCTAGACTAGATATTCTAAATTATCTTGGGTAAAGGATCATTTTTAATTTTACCTTTTTTTAAGACTTTTGTAAAACTACAATAAAAATAAATTTTTAGAAGAAAGAAAAAGATATACAAAATGCAAGTCCTTTCAAATATGACACTAAACAGACATGACATCTATTTCAACAAATATAGGCAAAACAATCATTAATAGGAAAAAGAATAAAATAATTCAAATGTATTCACACTGTTCATTGAAAATGTGTGTATTGGTGGTTAATACAGAAAATTAGTATTAAACTCATAACTTATTTTTGTCCTTCTGTAATTGTAATTTAACAACAAAATTATGGACGAAATGCAGAGGCCACATAAAAACTTATGGAGAAACTTTAAGCAAACACTGTATGTGTCAGTATATAAATTTTTAATGTGACAAGTAAATGTGCTTGCCATCTTATTTAGCTAGGTTGGATTGATAATAATACTATTTTAAGGGGAACAAAATAGATCAATTTTGTAGGATTGTTTTATTAATACTCACAATAGAGAATGCAGTCTTTCCAAAGCATCTCAGTAGGAATGTGAACAGATATTAAAGGCAATCTTAGCAGGCTTTAAACTCAAGTTTAAAAATAGCAGCCTTTTAAACTCAAGTTTAAAAATAACTTGAGTCATTTTTAAAATGACTCAAGTTAATCATTTTAAAAATTTATTCTAAATGAAGGGAAAAATGAGTATTTTTCTTATTTGAAATAAATTGTATTGTGTATATGTGAGTTTTACAACATGATGTTATGGAATACATATATTAGTAAAATGGTTACTATAGTGAAGCAGGTAAACATCCCTAACATCTCAAATAGTTACACTTTTGTGACAAGAGTAGCTAAAATCTATTTTTTTTAAATCCCTAACGCAATATGATTTTGTTAAGTTCTCATGTTGCACATTGTCTCTAGACTTGTTTGTCCTATATATTGGCTACTTTGATCTACAAATGTTAAAAATAGTGAGAAAAATGATACTGTGCAATGTTTTTCTTTCTATGTCTGGCTTATTCTACTTAATAATTCTGTATTTTCAAGTTTCATCTTCAATTATTTTTCAGTAAGCTGTTCCAATCATTCATTCTACACAGTTATAACTTAAATTATTCCTTTGAAAAAATAAATTAATTCTGGATCCATGTATTTCATATATGTGAGCCTTCTTTTGATGGAAAATAAAATGTAAACTGTTTTGTTAATCTGTTTGGATATCTAACTCACCTCTTTAACCTCTAAGAGTTTCTTCTGTTCTTGAAAATTTTATGGCAGAATTTTTCCCATTGATAATTAACTAAATGTGCAATAACCATTGTTTGTGATAAATTTCCACATATTGAAATAGTAGTGTCATATCTCAAATCGAGCTTTTAATTGTTCTTTAGTATATCACATTTTTCACTACATCGCTCAGCACATTGTTGAATTTAACTAACATGTTATTTTTCTTAGTAAATTTTTTCTACTCAAAGGAAACAGTGTATTGATTTACATTTTAGCACAAGCTGTAACCTCCAGCATTCCATCAGAGACCATTAAACCTGAGTTTAGTTTTTCGATTTTATTTTCAAGTAGTTTTATTTGTAAGAATCAATATTTATGAACTTTATTTTTTTTCCTAGAGGTCTTCCAAAGAACAAAGAACTCTTTATTTTCATTTTAATATAATAAAATCCTGAAATTAAATACACTTAATATGTATATAATTATATATAATAATGTATAATTTAATATAATAAAGTCCTGAAATCAAAACACACTCTTATCCACTCTTAAATTCCAAATTACATTTTTTAACACTGTAATCCTTCAAAGTTCAACACATTTCAGAACTGGTTGGTTTGTTGTAAATTAAGCTTCATAACATAATTTTCCATATCACTATTCTATTAAAATACAACACACACTGAACAAGTTTCCATATTAATGATATTTGTGCTTTCATCAAGCTGCCATGAAAAATTCTCACTTAATTTGTTCTACACATTCATGTACTATATCATTAACCACTTCCTAGATATATATGGTATCATTGTAAGGTTGTATTTGAGCTACCCTGTTATGGTTCATTAAAAAGTAGCCAAGCAAGTATATTTGATAGTTTTCCACTAAGATTTCAGCAACTTTTGCAGAGTTGATACTTCATGAAAAGCCTATAAGTCACTGTGTTTATATCTGAAATATTGAATATTTACTTCTGTCTTCTTTTTAATTCCTTATTATTTCTTTCAAATATTTGCTTTGCTCTAAATGAATTTCTTTGTTTTGCTTGTAAATGCCACTTAGACTTTGAAGGTTATGTTGGTTTATTAGCCAGTACATTTCTACAGATAATACAGTGTGGTTTTGTACTTCACCATCGATTATGACTATAAAACTCAACTCAGTATATGAGAGGTCATATGGCAAAGTAACCAGAAAGAAATCTTGTGGTCTTCATTTCCTCTGAACTGGTTTCACTCTCATCATTTGGAATATTAATTTTCCCACTTCATAACAAGAGGCTCTTTTTTCCACAGAGGCTCCACAAAGCCCTGTGGAGCTTGTTTCATCTTCAGTAAATTTAGGATTAAAAATAAATAATACCCATTTAAATCTTGGTTTCTATTTCCACACCCCAATAAAAGGAACTAGAACTCCCTGGAAAATTGGCTGGCGCTAGGGCTGGGCAGGGAATATATATGATAAGTCTAGAGCATAATTATATTGACACAGAAAAAGAAAGTGCTTAAAAGATAAAGAAAAAAAACAAAGCCTATGGGGGTCTGTCAAAGAGACAAGGTAGCCAAGTTAAAGAGCTCCAAATGGCCAAAACTGGAACAGCTTCAGCCAAAAAAATTAATATTGTTGCATTAGATTATAAACCAAAGTAGAAATAACCATGAACCATGAATAAATACTCATGGATCTGAGCTGATATAAATAAATGTTTGGATAAATAAATAGACATGTCTCCTGTGCAGAAGAATTTCAAATAATTTATGTAGATAATCTCCCACAACTCCCACCAAAGAAGTGGATACTTTTACCTCTTAAGTGTGAGCTGCATAGAATTACTTCCTTCCAAATTACAGTATGGAAGGGGGGTGTGATGAGGAGTCTGAAACCATTTTTTTGATGTTTGACTGTTGACAGATTTTAGGCCTCATCCCTTCCTCTTTCCTTTAAATCTCACACATGGGCCATCTGAGAAGAAAGCCTGGGTGCTGCCTTCTTTGATGCAGGCAGAGGTTTCAAACCACGCAAGCCCCTACTACTGGAGCTGATTTTGACCTCACGCCTAAACACAATAAAAACACCAGATAGCCAGTCTCCTTTTATTGCTCTCTCAATCCATTTTGATCTTGCTTGAAGTTTTCCATGGAAACCTCAAGTATGTAATAAAACGTTCCATAACCTCTAGGCATGTGTGTTGTTATCAATCTGTTCTTCAAAACAAATTTGGCAGGATTTTCTCCTGCTTTTGTAGGATGATCACAAGGGTGGGCTATAGTTTTATAGTGGAAAAAGCTGACAAATTATGTTAATACATCAGCTAGGTGATTAAGGTTAAGACAACATGTGTCCTTCATAAGATATAATGAGACTGACACCAGTTTTGTGGTCTTCCTTCAAAAAATCCATAACCCCGATGTAATAATAAGAAAAACTTCAGACAAATCTTCTGTTGAGGGATAAAATATCCTACAAAATATCTGACCATTACTCTTCAAAACTATCAAGATCATGAAAAACAAAGAAAGGCTGAGGAAACTGTTCCCAGGCGAACTAGCTTGGGCTGCTTGTTCTCTTGGTCCAATAACAACATGCAGACAGATTGAAAAAGAAGGGAGTTTATTTCTGCAACTGGTTACAGGGAGAAGATCAGAGTAACTCACCAGACCAACTCAAAGTTATGTTTTTCTCCAGTGTATATATACATTTTAAGCTCTATGCCTACCTGTGGCAGTGCACCTAAAGTGAGAGTGTTTCATTCATTCTGTATCTAATGTTTAACTAAGGTCTAGAGTCTGGAAAGCTTCCTCTAGAGCCTTGGAAAGTTTTTTAATCATAAGTGGGCCCTTGTACTAGATGTATGTATAAGAATGCTTTTATTATTCTTTTTCTTTTCTTTTTTTTTGAGATGGAGTTTCACTCTTGTCACCAAGGCTGGAGTGCAATGGTGTGATCTCTGCTCACCGCAACCTCCGCCTCCCCAGTTCAAGCGATTCTCCTACTTCAGCCTCCCAAGTAGCTGGAATTACAGGTGCCCTCCACCACGCCCAACTAATTTTTGTATTTTTAGTAGAGACAGGCTTTCACCATGTTGGCCAAGCTGGTCTCAAACTCCTGACCTCAGGTGATTCACCCACCTCGGCTTCCCAAAGTGCTAGAATTACAGGCATGAGCCACAACGGCTGGCCCTGCTTTTATTATTAGATCAGACTTTAGGGTCTGAGAAAACCTATGTGGGGTGTTAATGGGTTTATTTTCACATTTCAGCCCTTGTACTCAGGCACCAGTTTATCCAGTTCTTTAATGTTTAACGTATGCATTCATCAGAATTGTAGTGAAGGGTTTTGGAAACTGGCTGCTCTGGCTGCTAATGGAAACCTGGCCTGCCACAGAATGTCAGAGTCAGAAAGAGCTTAAGAAGACACAACAAGTAACCTTTGTGTGGTATCTTGGATGGGATCCTGGGACAGAAAAAAGAGGTTAAAAACTAAGGAAATCTGGATAAGCTATGGAGTTTAGATAATAATATATCAATATTCGTTCATTAGTTTTGACACATGTACTATAGTAATATAAGATGTTACAATAGAGGAAGCTGGATGTATGGGAACATTCTTTCCTATCTTCAAAACTTTTCTGTAAATGAAAAAAAAACTATTCTATAATATTCTATAATAGTTTACCTAAAAAAATACAAAGTCTATACTTCCTTAACATTGATAAAATATTTTGCTACAAATTTAAAAGCTTAAGGACCAATATTGTTATATAATAGCAAATTATTAAATGCTTTCCTTGTCTCAGAGTTTTATACACATGTAGGTACTATTGCCAAATTAACCTTAAATTATGCCACCTTGTAACATGACCCTGTGGTGCCTAACTGATAAACAGCACCCACAGGTGACATACCACATGAGTTTTACAGTTCCCAAACTACCCTATCTCCCGTGCACTTGTTACTGATGCCGAAGCCATAGGGGTCTGCAGCAACCTCAGTTCTTGCCTCCTCAGAAAAAAGAATTTGACTGAGGGGCATAAGGCAGAAAAAGAAGCAGAGGCAAGTTTTAGAGCAGAAGTAAAAGTTTATTAGAAAGCTTTATAGCAGTGAAGACTAAATTCTGATTTTTCTTATATTGCCCAAGTTCTTATCTAGGGGCTTGGGTAGTCGTGCCCTACAAACCATAAATTATCATTAGATGGTTTTTATTTAACCCTATATATTGTGACTTACTTTCCAATCTGACTCTGGTATAACATTATGTAACAAAAAAAGAAAATCAAAATATTTTACCCCAAAACATGTTTCTTTGCCATATACTGAAATGGCCCTGCAAAGCCATCATTTGTGGGGAAAATTTTGCACCTGTAAAGAATCTCTATTAATCATAGCTAGATCTTTTTCTTCTAGTCCCTCCCAATCATGAAGAGATTAACTGAGAGTCTAGCACCTTTTAAAGATCTGAATAGGAAATATTTACCATCTATTTTCTCTAAGGGCAGCGACTAGGAGACTTCAAAAGAACCTTGTTCTCCACAATCTTTTATCTTAACCTGAAAATGTCCTTTCTATTGATCCTGGGTCTTTAGACAAATTTGACCAATTGTCAACCAGACAATGTTTAAATTTACCTATTACCTGGAAGTCCCTGCTTTGAATTGTCCTGCCTTTCTGGAGCAAACCAATGTATTTCTCAAATGTATTTAATTGTTGCCTCATGCCTCCCTAAAATGTATAAAACCAAGTTTTACCCTGACCACCTTGGGCACAAGTTCTCAGGACCTCCTGAGGGCTGTGTCATGGGCCATGGTCACTCATATTTGGCTCAGAATAAATATCTTCATGTACTGTACAGAGTTTGACTCCTTTTATCAACAGCAGGAATGAAAAGAAAATAAAGTACACGTGGAAGAGGAGCAGGCAGGCAATTTGAGAGATCAAGATCACAGTTTGACCTTTTGATTTGGGGTTTTATACATTGGCATACTTCCGCCATTTTGTGTTTCTTCCCCCCGATTCTTCCCTTGGGGTGGGCTGTTCACATGTGCAGTGGCCTCTGCTAGCACTTGGGAGGGAAGCATGCACAGAGTGTTTACTGGAATTGTACACAAACTCACTTGAGGTGTTCTTCCCTTACCAGCCGAATGTCTCTAGGAATTTATTTATCAGTTAAATTCCGCCATTTTGCCTCTTAGTGTGCATAGGTGAGCCCACTCACCCAACTCCTGAAATCTTACTGGGAAACTACTGATCACCAGCTTTGGATTTTCCCTATCTTTTCGGGGGGGTTACCTTTCCCTGGTGCCAGCTGCGAACAATTATTATTTTAGATAGACAGTTAACAACCACTTGACCATCACCTGATCGTCACCTGACATTTCTGTTTGTGGAAGGGGCAGTGGGAGGGGGTTTTTCTATTGCCTTGTTCATATCTAATTAGCTACCTACTATAATACACCAAGAGGAATTTTGTGACATCACATTTGAATTTTGAGTCAATGTAAAATTTCTATAAAAGTTTTTAAATGAAGTTGACAGAAATCTGATAATTTGTTGTCAAGCATCCCCCCACAAAGCCACATTTTGTGACCTAGAAGTAACATATATGACAGAACTGTAACAGCCAGGTTGGAGGATGTTCCTGGGAAAACTCCAATCTGCCTGAACTCTGGGGTGGAGCCTCAGGAAGTTCGTGTCCTTTGAAGCAGGAAGGAGCCTGGCCCCTCGTTTTCCTGTGTAGAACCTGGGATTCAAATGGCTAGTCAGAAAGAGCTGTAGCAGGGACTCTGGCCTTGTGAGAGTCCCTGTTTCTCCCTTTTCTTCCTTTTCACCCAATAAAACCCTGTCTTTCCCACCATTGAAATTGTCTGTAAGGCTAAATTTTCATGGCCATGGCACAAAGAACCCCATGTTTAGCTGAACTAAAGAAAAGTCCTGCAACAGAACCACCAGGGATAATTTTTTAGCTGTAGGGACCTTCCTGGAAACTTGAATTTGCTTTCTGAACAGTCCCTAGACAAAGGGGCAAAGGTCACAGATAAGTAGTTGAGGAAAGATGGAAAAAATACAGAGCCTGTTTTCTACCGGAGTTGATGTTCATGGCAAATCTTAAAGGACTTGCAGTTACTATGGAAATGGGGGCCTATGTTTTGGAACAAGATTAGGCAGGAAAAATGCAAAAATTTAAACTGAAAAAAATCATATTGAAATTGTTCTTCAGAATCTCTGGTTCCTTCTATGGTCTTTAGAATCTTCCTTCTATTATCACTTCCTCACTGTTCTCCCAGCAAGACTCCAGGTATCAGCACAGAGCCAGGACATGAATAAGTGCTTTCACATGGTAATTGCTTTGCCCTAAGGGGAATCCTAGGAAATGGCCATGGAATTGTGTATTTCTGTGTTCTGAATAAATTTTCACTTCTAGCTAATCTGGTATTTTATCTTATAAAATAGAGCTGAAGTGTCATTGTGCTGCTTCAGAGAGCTGAACACAATGTAAAAATCATTTGGATACACAACTCGTCATGTTTTGCAATGTAAAAACAAAACAAAAGGCCCTTTTCATTCTCTTTCTGAGTTTTTGCATTTCATTGCTCACCGTCAGTGACAGTAATAGCATTGCTTATTCTTAAAACTGAAAATAGTTTTAAAAAGTTTTAGGAAAAGGTCACTTATACTACACATCACTAGAATAAATATTACTTTCATGTACAATGGTTTCTAAGCTTCTGATGGATTAGTTAATTGTGGAAATCATCTGAGGAAAAGAGTTAAGATCTTTTGAGCACACTGAGCACTTCCATTTATTGTGACTGATTTAAGACAGACACATGAGGGTTAAAAAGAGGAATATTATGTTGGTTGGAATTTCAAGTTTTTTTGTAATGCTTTGAAAAATCTAATCCCTTTGTCAGGTTCAGAATTATGCCAAATGTCATGCTTAGGGTCAGATTCCAGGCCCAGCTGAGGTCCGAGGGGAGTGAGTGGATGAGCAAATAGCTGAAAGAAAACTTCGGGCATCATAGGCAGGTGAAATGTAGTTTATTCAGTAGCTCTCTCATCAGCAGCTCTCTCACACTGTCTACCTTTATCTCAGCTGTCTGCTCCAGCTCTGCAGCTCCTCTCAGCAGCTGGCTTTGTGGTTTCTTCTGCCCCCATGCCTGCAGCTATACTCCCTGGTTTACAAGGCCCGCTACAAGTTCAGTAACTTAACTCTCTCTGGGCACAAGCTGGTTCCTGGCTTCCCCCCGCCCACCTTCAAGGCAACCAGCTGTCCCTTACAGGGGTCAGTAGCATTACTGTCTCTCTGGGCACCAGCACACATGCCATGTTGAGCCCATGCATAGCATCAGCAGGGCAGTTACACCTTTTCAAACGATAGTGGCTCCAAGCCAAGTATGAGCTTACACAAACAGGTTACATAACACGTGGAGGTGTGCACCTGCACCCTAAACTTGCTGAGTCACTCTGGCCTGGATGTCCGCCTTGGCCTATTCCTTGACCAGGTACATCCATGTACCTTACATTCCACACCCTATGCCAAGGGAGAGATAAGTTTCAGGCACACAGGCCCAATACACAGGCTTGGGCACACAGGTCTGACATATAAGCTTTGGGCATTCAGGCCTGATACATACACATAGACTTGACACATAAGCCTGACACATAAGCTTTGGGCACACAGACCTGATTCATAAGCATCTGGGTACACAAGCAGGTGTCACCTCCTTGGTGATCACTATTCACATTGTCCTGAGTTCAGCTCATTAGCTACATTGCCTACACCTGGTTTCAAACCATATAGTATCAGTGCTAGGTTGGACTGCGACAGTCCAGGCAACAGTAACACCTCAGCTAGACCCACCTATATGGGTCCCCATTAGGAAAAGAAGGACACACTTCCCTAAACAGTGAAGGCTCAGGGTCTAGGGGTGCCTCAGGCTCCAAGACCTTATGCCCTATGGTCTTATCTTGCATTAGGATTACAGGTCCCAAGACCTCTTGCAGCTCTGCTGCTAAGGGACTTGTATTAAGCGTACTCCACTGCTTCAAGTAGGCACCCTGCTCCACTAAAGTAGATGTCTGTGCCATCCCATTCTGGGGGGTCATTACCCATGAACACACCCATCCCACTATTGAGTAAGTCGTCCACACAATGACTATAATCCATCCTGCCCTACTCTTATGAGTCTAAAGAGCAGTATATGCGGTTACTAACTGCTTTCCCAGTCCGAGGGGTCATTACCCATGAATGCACCCATCCCACTATTGGGTAAATCATCCGCACAATGACTGTAACCCATCCTTCCATGCTCTTATGAGCTGAAGAGCAGTATATGCAGTTACTAACTGTGTTCCCAGTCCAGGGCTTTGTTATCCATGAGCGCACACATCCAGCTATTACTAACTGCTTCTCTATTAAGGAATACCGGAGCTCAGCTCCTTTCCATACAACGTTGGGACTAAAAGCCCATTGGCATACTCAGGTGCTCTGTGTCCTGCTATAGGCCCTAACTAAAAATATTTGTGGTCGTATGAATATCTAGCTTAAATGGCCACCTCTGATTAACTACCCGTAGGGCTTGTGCCTGCTGAGTAGCATGCTTGGCTGCCAGGAAAGGCTGTCTCAGCCTCACCATCCAATCCCAGGCAGGGGGGCATTGCTGCTTCTAAATCTTCCAGAGAATCAGATTTAACATCATTAACAAGGCTACAACATATGGTGAGGCTATACACATAGCCCTGTGGCAACACTGTGAAAGTCCATTGTAGCCCTCCTATGAAGACAAACTGTTCCTGGCTCTCTGGAGCGATGTCAGTTGAGAGGGATACATTGGCCAAGTCCACCAAACAGTGGCACCCTCCAGTTCTGTTGTTAAATGGTCCGTGACAGACAGCACAGCTGCCAAGCTGTGCAAACATCCACCCCCAGAATGTCTTCAGGTACGGGAGAGACAGACACAGTGCATAAGTGGAGAGCCAAGCAGCTGATGCCAAGATGCAAAGATACAGATTTTACTTTTACTGACCGGTCTTCATAACAGTTAATAAATGCAGCTCTGCCCAGAAACTTATCTGGGCTCAGGGCCCAATGGATTGCTAAATCCACAGGCGGCCTTTGGTTGTCCGGTGCCCCACCAAGCCAGGCACCTGGGCCAGTTCTCTCATCAAACAGAAAAGGCTTTACACTTCCATCTGACTGCAGCAGGTAATCTGTGAACTGGAACACCTGGGCGGGACCGCACTGCGCAGCAAAGTCCTTCTCCCAATCTTGGAGGCAGGGCAGGAAATGCGTTAGCTCCTTCGTTCCAGAGAGGGACTATTCAGGCAGAGGGCTCCCCCAGACACTGCCGACATTACTCGCTTAACTCCTGAAACTCAGCAAGGGCACAGGCACCAAAGGAAGTGTGTTCCATCACAGTAGGGGGTCTCTGGCCCACCCTTGGGGCCCAACAGCTGCTCATGTTCTATTTTCTGAAGGACCAGGGGGTTAGCCTGCAAGAGAGGTTCTTCCTCCTCTCTGTGCCGTGTTCTGCAGGGACTGGGCATGCACTTCCCCGAGCAAAGTCACAAACACCCATCTGACTCTGCCAGCAAAGGCATGCTTCCTTCTCGGTGCTGTGCACTTCCAGGTACGTCAGCGCCATCTCCACACTTGCGAGAGACACATCCATTGCCTTTCATGTTTTGATTGGGGCCCATCCTCACAGCACAGCTGCCACCAGGTACCACAGCTCATGCTGTGGCCACATAGCGGATACGAAAGCCTTGGGTTCTGAAAATCCACTCACTTCATACTGCGGACGTTGCCAATTGTCAGGTTCATGACTACACCAAATGTCTCTCTCAGGGTCAGATTCAACCCTAGCTGAGGTCTGAGGGGAGTGGGTGGATGGGCAGATAGCTGAAAGAATACTTTGGGGGGCCATAGGCAGGTGAAATGTAGTTTTATTCAGCAGCACTGTCATCGCACCTCTTTCATACTGTCTGCCTTTATCTCGGCTGTCTGCTCCGGCTCTGCAGCTCCTCTCTGCCACCCCTACACCTCTGCAGCTACATTCCCTGGCTTACAAGGCCAGCTAGAGTGTCAGCAGCTTAACTCTTTCCCTCTGGGCACAAGCTGATGATAAAACTAGAAATTTATATTTGTTTTAGTCTAAAAAAAAACCCTGAGATTGGCTTTTTAAAGAACAATAATGTATTAGTTCTGGAGAGTAGGAGTCCAAGATCAAGATCCCTGCAAGTTAGTGTCCAGTGAGGACCCAGTCTCTGCTTCCAAGATGGTGCCTTGTTGCATCCTGAGGATGGGACAAACACTGTGACCTGACTTGGTGGAAGGCACAGAAGAGCAAATGGGCCTGGCTAGTTCCCTCTATCCATTTATAGCACTAATCCCAACCATGAGAGTGGAGCCCTATGACCTAATCACCTCTTAAAGGCCCTACCTCTTAATACTATTCATTAGGGATAAAGTTTCAACATGAATTTTGGAGAGGACACAAACATGTAAACCACAGCAATAATGCATTTATAATGCTGAGAATGCTAAATTGAAGACAAGAGTATGTATTTTATTGTGAAGTAGCATGAATCAGCCATATCTGCCTACAACCTGTTTTTCTTTCTGTGGCTTAGGCTGATAGGTTCCCAAATTTTGTCAAGTTTTTAAAAATATCAAAAAGAGAAACACTTCAAGACATAACATTTATATCAAATTAAAATTTTAGTGTTTTGTAAATAAAGTTTTATTGGAGTACAATCACATTCATTTATTTGCGTATTGTCTCTGGCTGCTCACAAGCCACAACGGCAGAATGGAGTAGATTTGATAGAGGCTGTGTATATCTCTCTATGGCTAAAGTATTTACTATTTGGCTCTTATCAAAAAAAAAAAAAAAAAAGAAAGAAAGAAAAAAGAAAAAAAATTTCTGACCCCTGTCCTAGACTATGTGGACTTATTAAAGATCATTGTCTTAGTTTTGATTCTGGGTTTTTCTTTGGCTATAGCCCAGACTAAATTCTTTGGACTTCTCCTCTCCCAAGCTGGAGTGCAGTGGTGTGATCATAACTCACTATAGCCTGAAACTTCTGGGCTCAAGCATTCTCCCATGTGACCTTTCTGGGTAACTGGGACTACAGGTGTGTGCCACCATGCCCTGCTAATTTTATTTATTTATTTATTTTATTTGTAGAGATGGGAGTCTCACTATGTTGCTCAGGCTGGTCTTGAATTCCTGACCTACAAATGATCCTCCTGCCTCAGCCTTCCAAGGTGCTGGGGTTACAGGTGTGAACCACCATGATTGGCCTTCTATATTTCATAATAATAAGATAGGGGCATCATTTCCTTAATTTCAGTCTTCAGTAGTCATAGAAATTTCTTGTTTCTACTTCTGAAATTATTGAAAGATCTAAAATGTTTAAAGCCTAAGGCTAAGAAATTATATAATTAGTATTCCCAGAGGATTGCTTCTGATGGATCTTCAAAGATGTTTGTGATGTGCCTAAAGCATCTGGCTGCCAGAATTTTATTTTGTCATTATTTAGAATTATCATAGTGTATAGAACAATTGTAATTTTCTTTATTTGGCAGAGTTGTCAAGAAGCTGGATTAATTTTAGAGTTCCATGGCTTTCTGGAAAGATAAAACACAAACTTTTATTTTATTAGTGTGTCTGTACAGCATTTATAGTCTATTATATTTATTTGTTTACATGTGCTTGGTGAAGATATGTAATTGCCATCAAATCCCCATTCTTCCTTTTTTCTACAATGATATGACGCCTAATTTTTGGCTGCCCAGAATAAGGACGACATATCTCTGTCTCTTTTAAAGTTAGATGTGGCCATGTGGCTTAGCTCTGGCCAATGGGATGCAACTGAAAATTGTACGTGCAATTGCCAGGATGTATCTTTAAGGGAGAGGAGCTTCTTCTATAAGTTCATAGTTTTGACTACCTATTAGGTACAATGTGATGTAATGGTTGTAACTCCAGGTATTACCTTGGACCATATTATACTCTTGTTAATAAAACCCATACTAGACCAATAAAAGATATGAGTCTGAATTTCTTAAATTGTTTATGGTATTGGTTGGGGACTGATTACCTTTCAGTTTTGATGGTCAGAGAGAAATAAGCTCTTGTGTTGTTTAAAGTGCTTGCTATTTTGAGGTATTCTTTTGCCACTTTCGAACATAATTCTCTTACATCCTGTATTGTATTTAAAAAATTCTAAGCATTCTTTTATTATTCTTAATAAAATTCTACCCTAATTATACTCTTTTAAATCTAAATGTTTTGAATAAGGCTGACTTTATTTCCTAAGTTCTTGGATGAGCACCTGACCTTGTCCTGGTCAAATGTCATTCCATCCCCTGAGACAGAGTGATTAGTTTGTGGATGCTCCTCAAATCTAAACCACAATAGTGGTTCACATTCTTGGGTCTTTTGCTGAAACTTTTGGAAAAGAAAGGCTCTCTTGCTTTTATAATTGCTAAACTATGAGGGTATATGTTTGGACCTACCTAACAGCTAATAGCACAGCAAAGGGAAAGAAGTCAACATCTTATCAAAGAGAAAACTCAGCTGAAACAGAGATGGCACAGAGTGAGATACAGACTGTAGCCTCTGGATCTTAAGCCTCTGTATCTAGCCAAGCCCAAAGCTAAATACTTCTTGACTGATTTTTTGAAGCACTGTGTATCTTGCTACTCCCCTCTCTCCCAGTTTTTTATAACAACCCCATGAATTTGGGGATGTATGGGTTGACCTTATTAAATTATGGACTTGCTACACAGCCCACGACCATATTGCGAGGAGAGGAATTGCTTAACATACGTTTGCGGAATTCAGTTGTGGTAAAACCCAGGGATGATTGATCGTTATCTGACATTTCACTAATTTTATTCAAATAATTCAGAACTTATACAACAAAATGCCTATTGTCTTCAAAAGTCTTCCAATAAATGATGCTTCCATTGATATGGGGGCTTCCATTGACACCTTGTCCTTTGGGACAAGGGAGATCTATTGTTCTGAAACTATCTTTAGTCAGTGCTATTTATATTTATAACTGATAAATTTTGTTCTGTGAAAGATAATGTGAGTTCTGAGAATAGCCAAAATATAGTTGGAGTCAGATTTGGAAATTGATTGAAAGAACTTAAAGGTATGAAATAATAGTTTTGGAAGTGAGGGGGAAATATATATATATTTTAAAGTACCTACAGTGTGCTAGGTCTTTTGCCAAACATTTCACATACATAACTGCTAATATTACTTAAGTACATGCTGGGCCCAACCATGATGCTAAATGCTTTACATGATGTTTCTTGTTTAATCCTTATATAAGCTTACCTGAAAGACATTATTATTCCATTTACACCTGAGAAATTAATAAATTGTCTGAGTTTGCCCAATTAAGAAGGCATGACAAATAAGGATCACATAAAAAAGTCAACAAAGTGTGTTCCTTCACCCCATTCATGGTTCTACCCACCCCCATTTACTGCACAAAAGTCAATATTACCTCTACTTTTAGATATCCAGGGCTCCTAGGTCTCTTACTGCTCAATAGAAAGAGGTGCTTGGACACAGCTAGATGTACTATAGAAAATTCTCCCAGAGAAATAGTTCACATCTGTGCCACTTGATATATTTTCTAAGAGATGGCAAGAAAGAGAAAATATTAGGCTACAGAAGCTTTCTGTTTATAAAATTAGGCTTTATAGGGACAACGGAGTGTTCAAAGCCCAGATGGCAATAACTTAGGGAATTTCTGTACTAGCATCAGCATGGACTACTGACCTTATAGCCATTCAGCTCATCTAGGTCCATCCTGCAGTAGAGGCACCAGGGTTATTCAGCAAAAAGTGGTTTAATATTTTGTTAATAAGTATTTAGCTCCTGAGGTGAACACTTTATTTTAAAGAATATGGTTTTTGTTTTGTTTTGTTTTGTTTTTGGCTCACTGGTTTATAGCCTTGCTTCTTCTGTTATTATCTCACTAAATCTAGGATATTCTTATGTGTGCCCCCAAACAGTAACCGATTCAGCTTTCTTTTGAAATGGGCTTCTTGAGAGTGCTGTGGGCATATACTCTCTAGGACTCTCAATTTCCTATCTATTTCAATGAAAGTCTCCTATGAGTTTTAACTGAGAAAAGAAGCAAGTAGCTCATTGTTATCTTGTGCATCAGTGGTGATAATCAGTATCCTAAACATTGCAGGGTCACAGAAAGACACAGGGCTCTCTGATGGTATTGTATTTTCTCCATTTGCTTCTCTGAAACCAGTCCAGATATTGGAGTAGAGGCAATGAGTCATGAGGCTTGATGGATGTACATGCTGTGGTCTGCAAATAGAGGTTGATGTTGTTTAAAAGGACATCTAACACTTTTGGCAGGAGGCTTTCATTTTATCCGCTTCTTCTCTACCTCTCAATAGAATTAGTTTTGTAGCAATGACTATAGAGGAGCACTGTCACATTCTGTAACTCTGTGACTCCCTGCTCAAGAAGCGACTTGAAATTTCCTACAATTACAGCAGATAAAAGTCAGCTCTGTTGTAGTGCTTCAAAAGATAGGATGGACCAGGCTTGCTTCTGGCTTTTAATGAGATCACAGAAAACAATGCCAAGAGCATAATGAGGTGAGGGGTCTAGACACAGAGAATGGGGAAACAAAGGGAGATAAGCCTTATGTGCTCACACACAACTGCTCTTACCTTTGGCAAAATATTTAATCTCTTTATGCCTCATTTTGCTATTGGTAAACTTGGAATACAATAATACTAACATAGAACTTGGGGGAGAATTACATAATTGAATAAATATTTCTGGAGTTTCTCTATGCACATTCACCCCATTAACAAACACCTAATATCAGCTTTGAGGATGATGATAAAGAGGAGGAGGATTATGATTATATTTAAATGCAAGCATGGAAGGGGTTATTTTGAAGTAAAATCGCCTAACAGAAGTTGATTCTTTTTTTTCTTTAATGTTCTTTTAAATTGTCACAACAGTAGCAGCACTATGTTCTTCATTTTTCTCCCTGTGAAGTAATGAAGTAGGTTTGTATTATTGTATTTACATGTGAGGGATATGGGGCTCAGAGAAGAAATATGTCTTCCATTACTCACAAAGCTTGTGAGTGTGGAATTAGTATTTATCTCAGATGATGTGACTGTGGGTGCTATTCATAAGGGAACCAAGACAATGTGAGAAAGGACTTAATGTTTTATGATGGGAGGTGAAATGAGGGATGACTAGGGGAAATACAGTATTTCCCAAGAAAGGAGAGTTAGGATGAGACATCAGATTGTGCGTATACTCTAGACCCCGGGAAATGCAGGGACTGGACACCTCAGAGTGACAAAACAGTCACCTGGCTGATTCCTGCTCACACTCCAAGACTCAGCTTCCAACATGTCACTGCTTCTGAGAAGCCTTTTCTGATTCTTCAGACCAGGTTTGGCCACTTCCTCCTTTCATAGCAGCCTCTGCTTCCCTTGCAGCACTTACATTTTTATGTTGGTCTCCCAGTGGATTGTCAACTCTGAGAGCAGATGTCCTCACGACTGTGCCCTAGGCTGAGCACTGTACCTGGATTACTGCTAGGGCTCAGTGCACACGGTTGCTGAATGAATGAGAAACAGGGAGGCCGGGGCTCCCAGAAAGGCAGGGTGCCATGTCATCTCTCAGCTCTCGTGCTTCTGTGGTCTTTTGAAGGGCCTCCAGATTCAAACATCAGTTTGATTATAGTAAAAAGGGGTCAAATGAGGTACTCAGTCCCCAAGGGAACCAAAGGTGAATAGAAATGGCAAATTTACCACCTTGAAAATGTCATTAGGGTCTTTAAAATTCAAGACAGAAGATGGACAACAATGGTCAAAAATTAAGAAATGAAATTTAACATCAATTTCCCACAAGCTGAGGCACAGGAAATACTTAGAAGTCTACAGATCACAGAACAGAGCAGGAAGAAATTATTTTTGGTGAAAGCTTTCAGGGCCAGGAAAGCAAAGAAGCATCATGTGTCAGGCAAACACTTCTGCAAATAAGAGCAACCTATGACTGGTGATGAAGCAGGTCAAGTCTGTTTGTAAAAACTCTACAGCTCCTCTTCTCGATCATTAGACAAGCATTTGGTAGCCTGCCCTGCTTGCCCTTGTGAAAGTAGATCTTACGAATTGGGTCATTTTTGTCCATACCCAACTGAAACAGAGTTGAGAAACCAGGGGGAAAAAACACACAAGGTATAAAACATTGCTCCAAAAACTGTAATTTTTTGCAAGCCTGGAGGTTGAAGCTTCCTGCAGTAACCTGAAACCAATTTTATCGAATGACTGCTGAAAAGACCAGCTTCAACTCTCAAACTTGTTTTGTTTCACACCATCGCTTACCAATCAGAGCTTGATAACTCTTCAAACATTACTAGTACCAATGAAGTTTATCAAAGAGCAGTACATAACATTTCTCCTTTTTATAAAACCTCTAATATTCTCTTTTTTCTTTGGAAAGAGCACTTTCACTTGTACTGGAGGCTATGCCTGCCCAGTATGCATATTGTTTTTTGGTGACTCAATCATGACTCACTACAGCCTTGAACTCCTGGGCTTAAGCAATCCTCCTGCCTTAGCCTCCCGAGTAGTTGGCTCTACAGGTGCATGCCACCACTCCTGGCTGTTTTTTTTAATTTTTAATTTTTTATAATACAGAGTCTCAACCTGTTACACATATTTTTTTTAATGGATAATAAATTTCTCCTTTTTTTCTCCACAGATCTCATGGTCTTCTGTTAACATCACTCAGGTCCAAATAAGTTTGTTGATTTATTTTTAAACCCAGGACATGGATAAAATTCACAGAACTCATATTTTTGTGAAGTTTTTTTAGTATAACACTGCCTATAACTTATCTCTTCCTTTTTTTACTAAATCTTGCTCTCATTCACTTATACTATGTCTGACATCCTATTTATCTCCATCAATTCAATTTATATAATTCATTTTGATCTTTGTTTGCACCATTGTTTAGCTTGTTCTTATGTTCTTTGTAAGGTACCATTTGGCATTTTTATTACTTGATGTTATATTTCAAGTTTCTTATGTACTTTAGTTTTACCTCTTTTTCCTTTGCTTCTCTCACAGCCTCTTTAGATTTGAATGCAAATATTTGTGCATAGATGTTTTAGAAATATGTATTATATAACAAATTTAGTGCTTTATATCTTCCATGTCATGATCTTCCTTCTGTTTCTCATAAGAACTCACATAGAGAATGATATAGAAGTAAATGGATATGGAATAAATGAAGTGGGTCCTTGTGCCCAGAGATTATTAAGCTGTGGCTCTGTGTGTGTCTCCATCTACCTTCTCTGAGTGTTGAGGGTACTAATGTTTCAGTACATCCTAGACTCATGTGCAGTACACCTCATATCTCAGATTGGAAAATTCTGACCTATGCGAACTGTCAAGTAAATATTGCACAGAGTTGAACAGATAAGGAAGACTTTATTCAAGACTACTGCCATAAGAGAGAGAGTTGAATTCAACTCTACTGGAAAAAAAAAAAAAGAGAGGATTTTTAATTACTAGGATGAGCTACTGGAAGATTACTGGAGGACATTAGTGGGAAGGTTGTCAATGTCATTAGGCCATCTGCGTTTGTTAATTGGTGCTTATCAAAGTTAGAATTCTGTCCTCCAAACTTTCAAAAGAGTGGCTTCCAGGGTCTTGAGAAAGACATTCCTGGGTTGTGAAACTAGCAAGAGGCTAGGAGAAGATTTACACCAGAAGCAGAGAATAAATTTATAATGCCAAGTTTTCTAATGTAAATGCTCTATACCATTCATTTCCAGAATATTTAAATCAGGAAACATTAGGAGCATCTCAAATCATGCTCTTAAAACTATCTCACTTAATATTAATGAGTAATAATTGCCAAAATCAATATAAAGTTTTAATATGCCCCTTTATGTATCTTATTTATTAATTCATTCAAAACCATGTATTAAAATGATTCTTTAGAACATGTTTAAAAGAACATGCTTTTTTACATTGGTCCCTTGATTGCCTGAGGCATTGCTGAATTGACCATGGCTGTGGGATGTAAAGCTTAAATTTGCCTGAGCTTCTAGAAGTAGCTACTTCTCTCAAGGATGACAGATTTTTTTGTGTTGGCTTTGAACAGTGGATGACAGAGTGCTCTTCTTAAGATTTAGTGAGTGGCCAGGAGAGCAACTCTGCCCTGACAGAAATTATACTCTGTTAATTAAATTATCATCTATACATGTAAAACCTGGAGAGCATATTTTCATCAATAGAGATATCAACTCTGCCAACAGCAGGGAACTTTCTTTTACATTATTGATGACTTGGCCCTGATGTTTTGTTGAGGAGTGTCAATTCATTTTAGTTATTGAGTGGAGTGTCCACAGGGTTTCAACCACTAATTTATCAATGGTAAATGTTAGAAGAAAATATAAAATCTGGATTTTAAAATATGACAGCATTTTTAAATCTTCAGACACCAAAAAAGTGAGACAGAGTGGTGAACTTTTCTGTCGCAATTGTGAAGATATGCATTTCATTGCATTTCATATACATTTTCTGTAACAACCTTATTAAGATATGATTAATATACCACACAACATACCCATTTAAAATATACCAGTCAATAGTTGTTAATCTATTCACAGATATGTGCCATCACCACATTTTAGGATATATCTGTCATCTCAAAATGAAAAAAGAAAAGAAAAACACCTTTTAGCTAAATAACATTTACCTATCCCCACCCGATTTCCCATTCTCCATATCTCCCCCAGTGCTAGCCACCACTAATTTATTTTCTGTCTCTATAGATTTGCCTGTTCTGCACATTTCATATAATGGAGCCATAGATTATATGGTCTTTTATAACTGACTTTTTTAGTTTGGCATAATGTTTTCAAGCTTCTGGGTAATCATCTTTTTTTTAATTTTATTTATTTATTTTTTATTTTTTCTTTATTTTATTTTATTATTATTATACTTTAAGTTTTAGGGTACATGTGCACAATGTGCAGGTTAGTTACATATGTATACATGTGCCATGCTGGTGTGCTGCACCCATTAACTTGTCATTTAGCATTAGGTGTATCTCCTAAAGCTATCCCTCCCCCCTACCCCCACCCCACAACAATCCCCAGAGTGTGACGTTCCCCTTCCTGTGTCCATGTGTTCTTATTGTTCAATTCCCACCTATGAGTGAGAATATGCGGTGTTTGGTTTTTTGTTCTTGCGATAGTTTACTGAGAATGATGATTTCCAATTTCATCCATGTCCCTACAAAGGACATGAACTCATCATTTTTTATGGCTGCGTAGTATTCCATGGTGTATATGTGCCACATTTTCTTAATCCAGTCTATCATTGTTGGACATTTGGGTTGGTTCCAAGTCTTTGCTATTGTGAATAGTGCCACAATAAACATACGTGTGCATGTGTCTTTATAGCAGCATGATTTATAGTCACTTGGGTATATACCCGGTAATGGGATGGCTGGGTCAAATGGTATTTCTAGTTCTAGATCCCTGAGGAATCACCACACTGACTTCCACAATGGTTGAACTAGTTTACAGTCCCACCAACAGTGTAAAAGTGTTCCTATTTCTCCACATCCTCTCCAGCACCTGTTGTTTCCTGACTTTTTAATGATTGCCATTCTAACTGGTGTGAGATGGTATCTCATTGTGGTTTTGCTTTGCATTTCTCTGATGGTCAGTGATGGTGAGCATTTTTTCATGTGTTTTTTGCTTGCATAAATGTCTTCTTTTGAGAAGTGTCTGTTCATGTCCTTTGCCCACTTTTTGATGGGGTTGTTTGTTTTTTTCTTGTAAATTTGTTTGAGTTCATTGTAGATTCTGGATATTAGCCCTTTGTCAGATGAGTAGGTTGCAAAAATTTTCTCCCATTTTGTAGGTTGCCTGTTCACTCTGATGGTAGTTTCTTTTGCTGTGCAGAAGATCTTTAGTTTAATTAGATCCCATTTGTCAATTTTGGCTATTGTTGCCATTGCTTTTGGTGTTTTAGACATGAAGTCCTTGCCCATGCCTATGTCCTGAATGGTAATGCCTAGGTTTTCTTCTAGGGTTTTTATGGTTTTAAGTCTAACGTTTAAGTTAAGAAGAAGAATGGATTAAAGACTTCTGGGTAATCATCTAATACCCAGAATCTAAGCACAAGAAGACTTCATCACACCTAATGACCAGAATGTAGCCACACGGCACTCAACTTTGGCTGTACCTCAAACTTACCTATGTGGCTTTTTAAAAATAAAGGTGCCTTGGTTTAGCCCAGATGTAGTGGGTCAGAATCCCTGGAGATGGGTCAGGCATGAGCCTCTTAAACTTGAAAATCTCCAGAATTCTACCCTTGGAGTGCCATTTGTAATGTTTTAAGAATAATGTAAGTAGACTCTTCAGGATCAGCCTCACATGTAGTAACAACTTTGTGCCAAAGTCTCTTAAGCTAAAATGTGACAGTTACATGGACTGTAACCTATTAGCAGCTTTTAGCTTTATAATTCCAAATAGTTTACTGCATTGTCAGAAACTACCAGTAAAGCTCTGAGGGGAACTTGGGAAGGTCTAAGTTTGGTGGGGCACAGTAGTTCACACGTTAGATAAAGTTGGAAAACTGATAATTTTAGAAATTTTATCAGGAAAGAGAAAACCTTTGATTGGGAGATTTGGAGCAACCCCAAAGCAGACTTGGTTTCACTATTTTGCCTTGGGCTAGCCAAGCTCACTGCTTAGTATGGAGGAAGCAGATGCATATGTAATAGTATTAATTTCCCAAAGGCAAAAATTGAGAGGCTGAAATTCAGTGATGGAGGACTGGGTCAGATGTTCTCTTTGTGTGGAGATTTTGGGATTTGACAGAACTGCTGCTGAGCTGAGGATGTTTATCTATGAAACAGAAATGGTGGGTTACAAGGTGAAAAATTCTATCAATCAGATAAATTTGTGTGAACCAAATCTATTTGATTGCGATTCTTTCTCCCTCTGGGTTGACCTGTTATTTTAGTGTTACATAGGCACAGGTTGAATTACCAGTCAATTTAAGACAATTGTGTGCAACAACTCATCAGTTCAATGAAAAAATCAATTGAACTTGTCTTCTGTGATGGAAAGTATAAAAGCCCTCCAATTAAGCGTAACTTTAAATACATGTGTTGTCATTTCATAGCCAGCCAGACTTTGCTGGTTTCAACTATTGAAAAATATCAAGTAAATTTCCCATTTTTGGGAAAACCTGTTTTCTATCAGCTCTGAATTAGTTTTCCACCCCCTCCTTTTCAAATCACATTGCACAATAGGCCAGGCTTGGTGGCTCACACCTGTAATCTCAGCACTTGGGAGGCTGAGGCGGGTGGATCACCTGTGGTCAGGAGTTCGAGACCAACCTGGCCAGAATGGTGAAACCCTGTCTCTACTAATAATGCAAAAATTAGTCGGGTGTGGTGGTGGGCGCCTGTAATCCCAGATAATTGGGAGGCTGAGGCAGGAGAATCACTTGAACCCGGGAGGCAGAGGTTGAGGTGAGCTGAGAGCATGCCATTGCACTCCAGCCTGAGCAACAAGAGCAAAATTCTGTGTCAAAAAAAAAATGCACAATAATCTTTTTTTGTAAAAGTCTCTAGAAATGCATCCTTTACTATACCCCAGGAAAGCACTACCGAAAATCATTTCCTTGCTAGTGACATTTGCTGTTCTCTGGTTGTCCATCTGGTTAGTCAATTAAAAAAACAAAACAAAAAAAAAACAACAAAAAACATATTTGGAAAACAGCCTTGTTTGACTTTCCAATGTTTACCATACTCTTCGTTGAGTTCTTAATACATGATTGCATTTCTGCATAACAGGAAGGATAACAAAATGTACAATGAGGTCTTTATTCAAGGTAGATCAACATGTGTTTAGGACAATCAGAATCTTTAAGTTTTGCTTGGTATACTTCTGCGGGTTATCTGTTTGGATAAATAAAATCTAAGTGTTCTTTCATCATTGGCTGATATTCTATTATTTGAAAGTTACATAAAAATCAGAAAAAATAATTTAAAAACACAACTTATTTCTCAAACTAGACTTTTTAGTACAGCCATTTATGGAGATTGCAATGATTTCTTAAGGAAAAATGTCATAAATATCCCATTGAGACAAAAATATTTTCATGGCGCTTTAGCTCAGAGATGGAGTTTTGGCAATAAGTTTTGCTTTTGTTTTTATTTTACACTTTACATTGAATGCTTTTATTTCTTACACTAACAGGAAACAAGATTCAGGATTTCTGCCATCCTCATTGGAAAGAAAACATTACTCAAATGTTTACTGGATGGTATAAGAGTCACAATGTGCTGATTTGAAAGATTGGCTTCTTTTAATTTTATCAGGCTCAGTTCTGTGCTTTTTAGTGGTACATAATGACTAAATGTTTGAAATCATCAGAGGGTCAGTTAGTCATTGGTTAATAAAGTAGTGTGCATGAGGGGGTGATGTATAGATATACCATTTTATATATATATGTGTGTGTGTGTGTGTATATATATGCAAAATACCTTTTTAATTTAAAACCCAACCATTATTCAAGAAAGAAAGAACAAATTTCTTTCTTGTTTTACTGTTTTCAGTGACTACTCAGCTATAAAGAAATAAGATAATGTGGGGATTACACAATAATTGATTGGATAGAATTTTTCTTTGCTTTGAGGCTTCACAGCCAGACTCCTTTGCTAACTGAAAGGTGCTTTCAGAGATAAAGTAACTAAAATGCCACATTTGATTTAAAACAATAAAAAGGTTGAGGTATTTGCATACTGCTTCTATTGTTTTGCCTGATAAGTGTGAACAGTATTTATCTGTTTTACTAATACATTAATTTGACAAATTTGAAATAAAAATTTCATTGAATGTCCTGAATGCTCTGCATATTATAAATTATCCAGGTAATTACACCTGTTATTTGTTTTTGTCTGTGGTGATCAGGCCAACAGTCATTTTCTGAAAAGAAAAAATCACTAAATTTGAGTGAGAACTAGCAAGGTTGGTTACATAGTGAAGAGATCTTTTTCTCTTTAGTCTCCATTAAATCATAACACAGATTCTGAGAATTAATCTGTGATTTGGCTTAGAAGTGAAATCAGGAAGGTTTTTAAAATCATTTTAATTATCTTATTAATTGTATTTAGCAGTTATAGTTGGGGTTTCTTGTGTCAAAACTCTTCTACAGATAACGTAACCTGTTAAACTGTATTGGCTCTCTCGCTTGTATTTTCTTTTTAATTACTAGTCATTTTCAACATTACAAGTTTGGGTATTTCTTGTAAAATTTTATATTTCTGGCTTCTCTTGAAAAATAAGAAGACTTGGGAAATTGTCCCCATTTGTCTGCATAAAAACAATTGATTGGAGCTGGGTAGCAGACTCCAAATTTAGAAATGAGAAGACCTCCATTTTGCAATCATTTCTTCCACTCCCTTTTTTCTTCCCTAAATTGAGATTGATAGTTGTTTCCACTTGTTTTCCTGCAGCCAAAGAATAATGAAAATTATGGCGCTTTTAATCTAAGAAGGTATTTGTAGATATGACCTCTAACTCCTTTGAACATAGGGAAATCAAAATAAAAAGTCCAATTCCACTCCTTCAGGGTGGAGTGAGAGAGTAAGGTCAGGAGGGCATCAGAGAAGTCCTGACCACAACTTCAAGGGGCAACCAGCTTAATCCCTGTCTCTGCACTGGAGACCGGGGTGCTCACCTTAACTTCTTATGGCTTTTGTGAATGCCTCTGAGGTCGACCCAGAGTCTTTTTGAGGCTAACCACAAGGCCACATGACATAGTAAAGGAGAAGCTAATATATTTCTATTTTTGAGTTGAATTTTGTTCTATTGTGCCTTATTTTGAAGAAATGTACTGTACCAATTAAGAGTGTAGACTCTGGGATCAGATTTATTGGATTTAACAGCTTAGATTCATTAATAGGTACCTCTGTTGACCCTCAATATGGTGCTTAATCTTTTTTTTTTTAATTTATTTTACTTTAAGTTTCAGGATACATGTACAGAACATGCAGGTTTGTTACATAGGTAAACGTGTGCCATGGTGGTTTGCTGCACCTATCAACCCATCATCTAGGTATTAAACCCCATATGCATTAGCTATTTGTCCTGATTCCAACCCCCTCTCTTCTAGACCTTAGTTTCCTCCTTTCTTAAATAATTGTGTCTGCAATAGCGCTAAAGACAGGAATAAAATTCATAATCTGCATGATAGTGTTCAGTACAGAGCACATAGTAAAAGCTCAGTCAATCTTAGAGGTACTTCACCTCCCCAGCTCTATCTCCAGAACCACTTGCCAGACAACACTATACTATTTGCAGTAGAAAATATTTAAGTCTAAATATTAAGTACAACTAAGTGGTAGGCAGCATTGATTGATCAGTTACTATGTATTAGCTACTTTTTGTGCTTAATTTTATAAATCCTGAGGTTTGGCAAGTCCAAGGTCTTCAGGATGGTCAGCAGGTTGGGCGCTCAGGAAAGAGTCATAATTTTGGTACAAAGTTGATCTACTTATAGAATTAGTTCTTCTTCCAGGTAAGTTGGCTTTACTCAAAATTTGCTATTTAAATTTTAATCACATCTAAAAAATGCCTTCACAAAAATATCTAAAACAATTTTTGACCAATTTCCTGGGTACTATGGCCTAGCCAATTTGACACATCATATTGACCCATAACACACTATAAGGTATATGATTTTATTACTTCAATTTTTTAAAAATGTAATTTTATTTTAAAATGGACACATTGTAATTTTGCATGTTTGTAAGATACAAATTTATGTTTCAGTACATCATTATATAGTATATAATCATCAAATCAGGGTGGTTAACATATCTATCACTTCATGCATGCCTCTTTTCTTTGTTGTAAAAATATCAAAAGCCTCTCTTCTAGCTATTTTATAACGTATGTACTTTACTGTTAACAGAAATCACTCTACTTTTCAATAGAACACCCAAACTTGTTCTTTCTATCTAATTGTAACTTCGTACCCATTGACCAACCACTTCTCTTACTCCTCTTCTTCCTTCCCTCCCCAGTCTCTGATAACCACTTTTCCACTCTCTGCTCTTATGACATTTTTTTTTAAGGTTTAACCTATGAATAAGATCATGCAGTATTTGTCATTTCTGTTTGGCTTATTTCACTTAACATTATGTCCTCTAGCTCATCCATGTTTTCACAATGATAAGATTTCATTCTTTTTTATGGCTATATCATTGTGCATAAGTCATATTTCCTTTATTTATCCATTGTTGAACATTCAGGTTGATTCCATAGCTTGGCTATTGTAAATAGTGCTGCAATAAACATGGGAGTGCAGATATCGCTTCAAAATACTAATTTCTGATATAAGAATAGTTACTCATGCTCACTTTTGGTTTTCATTGGCATGATATATTTTTTCTAACCCTTTACCTTGAGTCTATAAGAATTCTTATGTTTTAGGTGCGTCTCTTAAAGACTGCTGATATTTGGTTTGTGTATTATTAATTTAATCTGCCAATCTGTATCTTTCAAGTGGAGAATTTAGGCTATTTTACATTCAATGTTAATATTGAGATGTGAGGTATTGTTCTAGTCATCGTGTTGATTGTTACCTAGCGACTTTGTTTTCTTCATTCTGTTATTATTTTATAAGCCCTGGAAATTTTATGCTTCTGGGAGTTTAAATTCCGGTGGGTGTCAATCTTTTGTTTCAAGATTTAGAACTCCTTTTTGCATTTCTTGTAGGGCTGGTTTAGTATTGACAAATTTCCTCAGCATTTGCTTTCTGAGTAAGATTATTTCTCCTTCATTTATAAAACTTAGTTTTGCTGCATACGAAATTCTTGGATAACAGTTATTCTGTTTAAAAAGACTAAAGATGAGACTCCAATTCTTTCTCTCTTGTAAGGCTTCTGTGGAAAAGTCTGCTGTCAGTCTGATAAGTTTTCCTTTATAGGTTACCTGATGATTTTGTCTCATTGCCCTTAGAATTATTTTCTTCACATTGGCTTTAGATATTCTGATGGCTATATGCCTTGATAATGTCCATTTCCTTTGGATACATACCCAGTAGTGAGACTGCTAGATCATATGATGATTCCATTTTTAATTTCTTTGAGGAACCTTCATACTGTTTTTTATAATGTCTGTAGTAATTTACAATTTCACCAAAGGTTTAGTGGGATTGTTTACATCTTTTCCAACACTTGTATCCTTGTATTTTTATAATAGTCATTCTAACTAGAGTGAGGTGATATCTCATTGTGGTTTGCATTTCACTGACGATTAGTGATGTTGAGCATTTTTTCACATACTTGTTGGCCATTTGTATGCCTTCTTTTGTGAAATGTCTATTAAGATCCTTTACCCATTTTTAAATAAAGCTATTAGCTTTTTGCTGTTAAGTTCCTTATGTATTCTGTATGTTAACCCTTTGTCAAAATAAATAGTTTGAAAATAGTTTCTCCCATTCTGTTGGTTGTCTCTTCACTCTGTCATTTCTTCAGCTGTACAAAAGCTTTTTAGTTTGATGTAATCCCATTTGTCTTCTTTTGCTTTTATTTCCTGTGCTTTTGAGATCTTATTTTTAAAATCCTTCCCCAGTCCAATGACTTCAAGCATTTCTCTCATGTTTTCTTTTAGTAGTTTTATTTTTTTGGATGTTACATTTAAATTTTGGATCCATTTTAAGTTGATTTTTGTATGTAGTGAGAGATAAAAGTCCAGTCTCATTCTTCTGTATGTGGATATCTAATTTTCCCAGAACCACTTATTGAAGAGGTTATCTTTTCCTCAATGTGTGTTCTTGGCACCTTTGTTGAAAATCAATTGACTGTAAGTGTGTTCATTTATTTCTGGGGCTGTCTATTCTATTTCATTGGTCTATATGTATTTTATTCCAGTATCGGGCTGTTTTGATTACCATAGTTTTATAGTATATTTTGAAGTCAGAGAGTGTGATGCTTTCAGCTTTTTTTGTTTGTTTGTTTAGGATTGCTTTGGCCATTTAGGGTATTTTGAAATTTTATACACAGTTCAGCATTCTTCTTTTCTATTTCTGTGAAGAATGTCATTGGTATATTGACAGTGATTGCATTAAATCTGTGGGTTGCTTTGGGTAGTATGGCTATGTTTACAATATTGAGTTTTCTAATCCATAAACACAGGATAGTTTTCAATTTATTTGTGTCCTCTTCAATTTCTTTTATTAATGTTTTATAGTTTTCAGTGAAGAAATCTTTTATCTCTTTGGTTAGGTTATTTCTGGGTGTCTTTTTATAGCTATTGTAAATAGAATTGTATTCTTTATTCATTTTAGATAGCTTACTATTAGCATATATACATTTTACTGATTTTTGAATGTTTATTTTTATCCTACTATTTTACTAAATTTATTTGTTAGTCCTAACAACTTTTGGGTAGTGTCCTTAGAGTTTTCTTTATATAAGATAATGCCATCTGCAAACAGGAGCAATTTGACTTCCTCCTATCCAGTTTGGATGCTTTTTATTTATTTCTTTTGATTAGTTGCTGTGGCTAGGACTTCCAGTACTATATTAAATAGAAGAAGTGAAACTGGGCGTCTTTGTCTGGTTCCTGATCTTAGAGAAAAAAACTTCAGCTTTTCGCGATTCAGAATGGTGTTAACTGTGGGTTTGTCATATTTGGACTTATTTGTGTTGAGGTACATGCCTTATATATCTAATTAGTTGAAAGTGTTCATCATGAAGGAATGTTAACTTTTGTCAAATGCTACTTCTACATCTATTGAAACGATCATATGGGTTTTATCCTTCTGTTAATGTGGTGAATCATGTTTACTGATTTACATATGCAAAAACATCCTTGCATCTTCGGAATAAATTCCACTTGATTGTATGGAATGATCTTTTTAATATGCTGTTGAATTCAATTTGCTAGTTTCTTGTTGAGAATTTTTGCATCTATTTTCATCAGTTATATTTGTCTGTAGTTTTCTTTTTGTTGTTATGTCCTTGTTTAGTTTCAGACAAGTTTTGGAGTCAGAGTAATGCTGTCCTCATATAATATGTTTGGAAGTATTTTTTCCTCTTCACTTATCTGGACTAGTTTGAGAAGAATTGGAATTAGTTCTTTTTTAAGTGTTTGGTAGAATTCAGTAGCGAAGACATCAGGTCCTGGGCTTTTATTTGATGGAAGACTTTTTATTACTGATTTGATTTCTTCACTCATTATTGGCCTGTTCAGATTTTCTATTCCTTCATAATTTAATCTTGGTAGGTTGCATATATACAGAAATGTATTCATTTCTTCTACATCATCAAATTTGTTGTTGTATACTTGTTCATAACAATTTCCTATAATCCTTTGTATTCCTGTGGTATCAACTGTAATGTCTTCATTTTCATCTCTGATTTTATTTATTTATTCTCTCTTTTTTCCTCAGTTAATCTAGCTAAAGGTGTGTTGATTTTATTTACCTTTTCGAAAGACCAATTCTATGTTTCATTATTCTAATATTAAAGCTGGAGAAATTCAGACTTGGAAGCTTTAAGTTGCCAGTTCAGAAGGCTCATAGAATGATATTGAATATATGATTTCAACCTATGTCCAGCTTTTTGGAACTTTAGTAAGATAATACCTATTTCCTCACAGAAATTAAATCCATAATGTAAAGAATATCCTATCCCTTTGTTAGCACAAATAAATAAAAATCTCAAAGTAAGAACAAAACCTCCTCTCTTTTTCTTTTTTTTTTTTTTGTTGTAGTTTACAAAGTCCCAGGCAGCAGTTGTAGTTGGATATTTTATTCTCTTTGGCAACTGTAGCTTGAGCTGCATTCCCATAGAGTTAAAATTTTTTCTTTAGCAACATTAAACACCTCTGAAATTGGATTCATTCAACTCTAACTCTCTCATGTATTGTATTTTATCAGAGGAGTTAAGCAGGATGCATAAGACTTGCAGCACCTACTACTTCTACTATGGCAATCACCAATCTCCATACCAATTTCTGAGTGGAGTAGTGTTTCTCCTATAAAAGACGTTAGTCTCATAATATGACAAACATTTTCATCCTGAACAGTAATGTTGCTATGAACCATGAAGCATAATAGAGAATCATCTGAGAGAAAATTAAATATAAAGGAAATAAGGTAGAACAAAAGAAAAAAACAAATCAGCCTTTTCAAGGTTTGGATCAATCTATGCCAGCTTTCCAAAGTGTGGGACCTGTGACCTTAAAGTTATCTAGGATTAATCTCTCATGATGAGTTTCATTGCAACAAAATTACTCTCATATCCTAGAAGGAGAGAATCTATGTCTAATACAATTGGTATCCTTTCTGTAAGGGACAAATAAAACACACTGTATTTTTGATAAATTGTAAAGTCAGCTATAGTGACCCCACTAACTGTTACATTTTCCTGAGGGCTCTGTCTTCCCTTTACTCTTCTTCATGTACATGTAAAACCTTAATTCTCGATTTCTCTTTTTCGCCCCTCTACATTCCTGACACTTCACTGTTGAATTAGATGGTGACCCATTTTAGGAATACCACTGGTATTAGTTCATTTTATGTTGTTTATAACAGAATATCTGAAACTGAGTAATTTATAAAGGAGAGAAATTTATTTCTTACAATATGGAGGCTGATAAGTCTAAGGTCAAAGAGCTGCATCTGGTGAGAGCCTTCTTGCTGGTGGGAATGCTCTATAGGGTCCTAAAGCAGCACAGGGCATCACGTAGCAAGGGTGCTGAACACCTATATGTGCTTACATGCTTTCACAGGTCTCTCTTCTTTTTCTAATAAAGCCACTACTTCCAATCCCATAACCCATTAATCCATTAACCTATTAATCTATTAGCTCACATTTGGATTAATTCATTCATGAGTGCAGAGCCTTCATTGTCCAATTACTTCTTAAAGACTCCACCTTTCAATAGTGCCACATTGGAAATTAAGTTTCTAAAACATGAAACTTGGGAGACATTTAAACCATAGCACCACTTTAGCTTTTTACTGTAGCCATGTGATCTACGTGGTAGCTAGAATTGTTCCGTAAAATAATTTATTGCCATATCTAACATTTTACATTCCACCATGATTTTAAGTCTATCTTGATACTGAATTTTCTGGAATTACTTAAATCTATTATTTTTTTTCCAGCAGAAGAGCCCCTCACCTCCTTTCTACTAAATAGCCATTTATTTTTCCATTTCCAATTAATGTGAACATTGGTTAGTTCTTTTTTGGTCTTCATCAGATCTAAGTTTTCATAATCTTGTACATTCGGTTATATTTGAATACTCTGAGTTAAAAAAAATGAGAAGGACTTCTTATAGAAGGAAGAAAAATTCCAGAGTTTTTTGCATTTAATTAGCTTCCAGTAGGAAAGTACATTTAAAGAAACCATGTGGCCAGGTGCCGTGGCTTACGCCTATAATCCCAGCACTTTGGGAGGCCAAGGCAGGCAGATCATGAGGTCAAGAGATCGAGACCATCCTGGCCAACATGCTTAAACCCCACCTCTACTAAAAATACAAAAATTAGCTGGGTGTGGTGGCGCGGACCTGTAGTCCCAGCTACTCAGGAGGCTGAGGCAAGAGAATCACTTGAACCTGGGAGGCAGAGGTTGCAGTGGGCCGAGATCACGTCACTGCAGTCCAGCCTGGTGACAGAGTGAGACTCTGTCTAAACAAACAAACAAACAAACAAAAAAACAAACAAACCATGTTCTTCTCTCTTCTTTGACTTAATCCTTTTTAAAGATCTACTTCCTTGTACAGTTGTACAGTAACCCAACCAATTTATAGCAACATTCTTCAAGTTTTACCATAAAGAAGGTGGTAAGGGAAGGAGACAGACAGAAACCAAATGCTTTCTAAATTCCTCCACTGGATAATACAATCATTGAGCCCATAAATCACTGAAAGTCTAGAGCTTTTCCTGGGTTCATACAAGAGCTCAGTTATGCACCTTTCTTACTGTTGTAACATAGTTTATTTCTCAAACTTTGAGCATCTTCACCTCCATCTTTTAGAAAATAATCTCTTTTCTCTAAAATTGAGGTGAATTATGCCACTGATTATGTCTTTCACCCACATGATGAAGCTAAGTCTTTTAGAGAAAGGTAGTATAGGGTTAAGTCCATACATCCTAGGTTCAAATTCTGGCACTGTTAGTTATGAGCTGTGGTGTCCACGAGATCACCAACTTGGATTTCCTTCAGGAGAACTAGCAGATGTCATGCTTATCCTACTCTGCTTCCAGTTAATGATTGAGCATGGCTGGGACATTGGTGCCTGCCCATTCCTGCTTGACACTGAACTAGTCTCATAGAAAATTTTGGCCCAGGGACACCCTATCAACCTGGATAAAACTTTTCCCAAAATGCACAGGTCTGCATGTACCTTGTGACTCTTGCAACTCAATCTTCATTCACTCTTACAGTTGCCATCCCTACATACTGCTTTGAAGAATCTCCCTACTCAGTCCTGTTCATTTCACCTCTATCCTTCACAGGCATCTCCCGCCAATAAATCTCTTGAACATCTAATTTCATCTTGGAATCTGCTTATTCAAGAACTTAAGCTGACACACTAGCTATGTAAACTTCTTCACGTTAACCTGTCATTTATCAACACAGAAAGGGGTTGAATAATAGAAACAGCCTCTATAAATTCTGAGTATAAAATGTGAAAATGAATATACATATAGTGATAACAAAATGAATGCAAGGTGTCTCCTTTATAGTTACCACACTCACTACATTCTTTTTATGTCCTCTTCCTCCTCCTCCTTTTCCTCCTTCTCCTACAATTTCATCTCATCTTATTTTTTCTTTTCCTTTGTTCTCTTTATCATCATCATCATATCTGGGGAAAATACAAAGTTGTAAGAAACAGGGGAGTATCAAAGAGCACAGTGAAGAGAAGAAAGGATAATGTTTGGAAAACAGCAGTTACGCTTAGGGATGAAAGTAACAATAATGGTAAATTTATTGAACACTTACTATAGCACAAATATTATAATAGTGAGATAGTTAAAAGCATTATGACCATTTAATTTCCACAACAATCTATAGTATAGGTATTAATATCTTTATTTTATTAATAGAAAGGCAGATACAATATCAGAGAAGTTAAATGAGGTCCTCATGAACACACAACTGTGAAATGATGAGGCACAATTTGAATCCATGTTCTGCGGACTGTGATGCCTATGCCTTTTATACATGTATATGATTAATTGTTAAGAAGAAAAGTAGACCAAGAGCTGCATGGAGAAGAAAGGCAAAAGACATAAGGGAAGGGTATAAAAAAGGAGAAACAAGAAAACAGAGGAATTTATCATAGGTTGACACAGAAGAAATGGTCAGGGGTTGGGAGAAGGTAGGAAGGAAAATGCTCATTTGTGGCCAAAATTATTTTTTCTTAATTTTCCATTTTACTTGGAAGTGCTTTATTGATGAGTGATTCTGAATCATTTCTCAAATTCCAGTGAGATGATTAGGACCCTTGAATGGTAGGACATAACTTATTACTATCTTTCCTTTTTTCTCTCCAAACCTTTAGATTTTTGATACCTGGTATTGTCTTAAAGGAGGTCCGGTGTATGACCATCACAACAAAATTACTTCCACTAGGGGTAAAAAAAAAGAAGCCACGAAACAGAGAAATTCAGTCTAACAGATGTCAGATATAGGAAACAAATCCAATCTAAGAAGTTTAATATTTAGTAAAAATCAATGAACTCTAAATATATTTTTGTTTAAGGGTGCTTTAGAGACAGTTTGAGCTGGGAGAGAGTGCCAGGAAATGGCTTTTTAAAATAATAAGTTTTTAACATAAAGTGTCTGCCATGCTACTGACAGTGTTTTGTGTGCTTTCTCCATAAATGTTTTTATGAGGCTTACATCAGTGGCTTTTAAAATTATTTCAAAGCAGAAAAGTCTTACATGCAGGCCAGGCTTATAAATCACATAAAAGTGGGAGATACTCTTGCTTTCTGCTGGCCTTCCTGCATGACCTCTGAGTCAAGTACTTAGGGTCCCTGGGATGTTGCATAATATGGTAGGGAATCACTGTCCTCAGTTACATCATCACAGAAACTATGCATGGTGATCATGTGATTAATGGCTTAAGGGATAATAAATCCCACATAACGTATTTCAATATGAATCCAGGCTTTCAAACCCTAAAACTCGAGGGAAAACACTGATTCGGACTTTTGGGCTTCAAAGGAAATATTTACTGACCAAGTGATGTGATTGGGAAAAAAGTGGAGTGGGGCAAATTTTCTCAATCCATGCTGATTAGGGAAAGTATGGGATAGGGAAGTTGGTGCTAGTTGCAGGCTCCTCTTTTCTTTCTATTGGACTAATTCCAACGAAGAACACAAGAGAGCAACAACTGATCAGGTATGGGATAAGGTTGCTATGGTAGGGCAACATTTTTAGAGCCATTTCCTATAGCACAGACAGTAGGATTTTTTGTTTATGTTGTATTTTCTACATATACATATGTCTCCTCAGATTATTTTTGACCCTTAATTATGGCTAGGGAAATTTCTAGAGTACCCTAACTTCTTAGGGGTTTGACATACTCTTTCATGTATTTTCTCTGCTTGCTCTCATTCATAAATGGCATCACCAATACAACGTAATTCTTGGCTTTGGACTGGCCTTTATAGAAACCACAGCTCATCAAATGAAGACAGGGTAATAACTAAAGATTTACTATCCCTATGTACAGTGCTTTCTTTGCTTCTTCTAATATTGTTGTGGCTATTTATTTTTATGTCATTTTCTCCCAACTTGCTTGTGAGCCCCAGAAGATAGGGCCTCATCTTTATTTGCCACTATTTACTGTGAATCATCTGCTCTCCTCCCCAACCCCCGGTCTAGAATGTAAGTTCCATGAAGGTGGGAATATTTTTGCTTTGTCCATTTTTTTACACCCCCGCCCCAGCCCCTAGTATATTGCATGCAAATATTTGATGAGTAAATTATAATATTCTGGAGGGCTGTTTTTCATGTTATTTATACTAATCCAGAAAATTAATTGCAAAAGTTTACATCAATCAGTCATTTATTTTATCATATTTCTGTGTGTGCCCCTATAAAGCTAGTTCCTTTGTCTCTGAAAAGATTTTCTCATGTGTTCTATTTTAACTGTAAATACATAAAGCTAAACCTGATCAACTTCCTCTTGTAGTATTCAGGGTTGTGTGATCCTTCCATGTTTAGTTCATGTTGATGTTTTATAGGCTGTCATCCACGGGCTGAAATCTAAAGTACTGAGATCAAAAATTCCTTAAAGAATATTGTGACAGACTAGCAGTAAGTGATGATGTTCATATACTGTGAAAATAATTTCATTGCTTATCCATACAGGTTTTCTGCTGTTGTCTTCATATTTGGTTTGACATAAAAAATAGGATTACTTATATTCTCCTCCCTCCTCCCAAGTCACACAATCTTATACATTTCTTTCAAACAGACACTAATCACATTTTAATGGAGACAATGGATTGGAGTATTTAATAGCCTGCCATCACTGAAGGAGCTGCTCTTTTGGCAAAGGCTAGATGCAAAGATATAATCCAAATCTTCAGTGGAGTTTTTCACTCAGCATTCAGAACATCTGCTATTCTACCTCTTTGCTTTCCTGGATTTATGCTTAGGTTTGTTGTTGGTCGTGGTTTGTTTTAACATAGGCTATGTATCCCATATTGTCCCAGTATCTTGCCGTGGAATCAGAGATGCATGCTCTACCCTTTTAAGTGAAATTTAATTGCTTATTATTTTACAGGCAAGTTATACTTTTCATAATTTCATTCTTCCTAAGGGCTTTATTGTCACAGTATGTTTTGAGTGATGAATGTCTACTACTTGCTTGTTATTACCCCCAATATTGGTGGTAGCTTCTCTAATTAATAATACTAGCAAGAAGCCGGGTGCGGTGGCTCACGTCTGTAATCCCAGCACCTTGGGAGGCCGAGGTGGGCGGATCACGAGGTCAGGAGATCGAGACCATCTTGGCTAACACAGTGAAACCGCGTCTCTACTAAAAATACAAAAAAAATTAGCCGGGTGCGGTGGCGGGTGCCTGTAGTCCCAGCTGCTCAGGAGGCTGAGGCAGGAGAATAGCGTGGACCTGGGAGGCGGAGTTTGCAGTGAGCCGAGATCGCGCCACTGCACTCCAGCCTGGGCGACAGAGCGAGACTCTGTCTCAAATTAATAATAATAATAATAATAATAATAGCAAGAAGCATAGCTGAATGAGGTTATGCCTATTGATACAGTAAAGAGTTTATGAGGTAAGGCAAAGATTTCAGGTATCAAGCGGATGCTTAGAAATAGAGATGTCATTCATTGGTGTACTAATCGGTATAAACAACTGTATTATTATATGAGCCTCAGGACAAAACCAGAAATTTCATTTGCTGTAAGATGCTGTCTTATTAGCTGTTAAATACAAAAGACCAGTTGCACATAGTATTCTGCTCTTGGCTGATCTTCTGTCAGTTTATGTGAACAAGGATTTAATGCAGTTACACATCCTTATTGTAAATTACTTTATCCATGCTATATAAGATTTACCTTATGAATGAACACAAGGCTTTTTAATCTTGTCAAAAAAATGGACACGACACTCTGAATTATTGATGAGTTTGTAAGTATCTTCTTGGAAATTTTCATTTATTCCATTTTCCAGAACATAATCAGTAGTAGCCTTGAGGCACCTAAAGTCACTTTCTTGAGATTCCAAATAAAGATGCTTCTCTTCCTTCCTCCTCCTCCCCCTCCTCCTCCTCTTCCTCCTCCTCCCCCTCCTCTTCCTCCTCCTCCCCCTCCTCTTCCTCCTCCTCCTTCCTTCTCTTCCACCTCTTTTTATTTGGTAGGTGAAGGGGTCAGCCTTGGACAATACAGGTAACAAAGAGAACTATTCATAGTCTAATTATTAATATTCACATTAACTCATAAAATAATGGTTCTGGTGAAACTCCTTGGAAAAAGCTTTGAAAGAGAAGATTTGCTTAGTCTTCACCAATTTCACTTCTCTGATCATTCCCTGCCCCTATGCATCAGCTGGAGATGGAAAAGTGTCTTGAATGATAGAGGATATTGAAAATTAATTAATAAGTTTTAACAAATATTGTTTTGGTGGGAAGCAGAATGATCATGACAATAAACTTGTTTTTTGTTTTTTTTTTTTTGAGACGGAGTCTGACTCTGTCGTCCAGGCTGGAGTGCAGTGGCACGATCTCGGCTCACTGCCAGCTCTGCCTCCCGGTTTCAGGCGATTCTCTCGCCTCAGCCTTCCGAGTAGCTGGGACAACAGGCACCTGCCACCATACTCGGCTAATTTTTTTGTATTTTTAGTAGAGTCGGGTTTTCACTGTGTTAGCCAGGATGGTCTCCATCTCCTGACCTAGTGATCCGCCTGCGTGGGCCTCCCAAAGTGCTGGGATTACAGGCTTGAGCCACTGCGCCTAGCCAATAAAGTTGATTTTCTGAGCTTTGTGTTTGAAATGTATTAACAGATGTCATTTCTTAAACCACGATGGGAAAATAAATTCACTCTTTCTAATTACTTATAAATTTGTTTCCTTGTATGTGGCTGCCGTATCCCCAAAATCAGAGAGTAAACTCCAGGCCAGTAGAAGCCTGTCTGTCTGATTCACCTTCTGGCATTGCCTTAGGTTCTCATGGAACTTCACCCTGGAAAGATGCTCAATGAGCATGAGTTAATGAGTTAGGGGCTTGGAAAGCATCACATTAACTCCAAAGTGCTACCTAGCTGCCTGGGGTGCTGTGATCAACTGCTTAGATCAATTGCTGAATGTCACAGTGTCCACTGCATCCCTAGAGAGGTCCTTTATCCTCCAATTGCTGAATGGTGGTAGCATCTTTCCTGTATTGCAAGGACACCATATAAAGGTGACATTGCCAAAATCATCTTTAAAAAAATCTTACTATTTGACAAGCTTTTCTAATGTGTGTGGATTTCATATTTTTTTTCTGCAGTAGATACTAGTGTTTGTGAGTAAAACATTAACTGGATGGTAGATTTTGACCAGCATTCTGTTCATTGGTCCTCAGTGTTCTCACATACAAAATGAGGTAGTGGCTAACAGAATTCCTAAGATTCCTTCTGGCTATAATATTCTATGATTCTATTATTGAAATTTGATAAATTCTGTTATATTTCTGATATATTTCAACACATTGCAAAGGATTAGACAAGCAGAGATTGAAAAAACTGAACTATATAAGTTAAGAGCATTCAGCCTCATGAAGTATAAGAAGAAACAAAAGTGGGTAGATACAATATATGAGATAGAAGAGATTATCTTCTTTATTGCATGTTGAAGTTGTTTTATCACACAAAAAAACTGTCATTGGATAAAATGAATGAGTGAAAATAAAAACACGTATGTGTCCAGAGGTAGAGACTATGATAGTGACTAAATAATTCCCTTCCCGGATGATTACTTTTTGTCTAGAAGACTGTTAGTTTGCTTTAAAAAGTAAACAAAGAAACAAAAACACCAAAACTTGAAAACTCCTTTTCAGGTAAGTATCTTTGGCTAAAAATATATATTTTTTCAATTTGGCAGAGATATTTCTGCCAGATCAAAATTTAACTTCCATTTTTATTAAAAATATAAATTTAATAGTGATATGTATTTCTTTTGAGCAGTCAGAATTGGAGAGCATCAAGAAAACTTAAATAGAATAATTTATTATTCTAACTTCTAGACACAAATAACATTATTTCAATACATAGCTCTCTGGGTTATATTGTTCTTTAATAAAAATGAGAGCTTATTGTATTTTTATACATGTAGTTTTATAACTTTTTCATTCACTAAATTATAGATTTTTTCATATCATTGCATATCTTTCAAGTATTACATTTTTATTACCTAGACAGGCTGGATTTACCAAAAATTTATTGAAATTACTTTTCATTTTTTGAACATAGTTGATTATAATTTATTATACGTTTTAATAATTTCCTACTAATGCATTATGACAATAAATACATAAGAAGTCCTTTTTATCTTTCAGGCACTCTGCTAAATGGTTGATATAGATTTTTGCATAAGACTGTATTATTGTCCTTCCCTAATGGAGCACACATTCTATAAGAGCAAGACAACAAAAAACAAATTAAGAGACAGACTAATAAAATAATTCACATCTGTGATAGTGACTCAGAGGATTTATTACAGCATTGAAGACAGACTATCTGACAGAGAACAACACTAAGTTGCAGGGACTTATTTCAGATAGTGTTATTAGCAATTATTTTATGGATGTACTCCAATCAGTACAGAAAGAAATTTTGTTTTCAATAAATAGTACTGGGTCAATAATAAACATTAAAATAAATTTCTGATGTATTAAACAGTTTAAAGGGAAGTGGAAACCTTCTCCCAGTTTCAACTCTTTAATACATCAGGAATTTATTTTAAATTTAGGGCAAAAATACAAATGAGCAGATACAGTCTGGAAAAATATATGTGAGTAGTCTTCTATCTCTGGGAGAAGGAGATTCTAGGAGTAAAAGCAATAGAAGTTATTCATGTACACATACACATATATTTCTACCTAAAAAAATTTAATCTATAAATTAAAAACACCAAAATAGAAATAAACATTTTCAAAAGTGGGCAATGATTATTATTCAAAATATAGTGGCTGGAACTGGTTTTTCCTTTCCATATTTAGTGCTTTCTTCAGGAACTCTTGTAAAGCAGGTCTTGTGGTTACAAAATCTCTCAGGATTTGCTTGTTTGTAAAGGATTTTATTTCTCCTTCACTTATGAAGCTTAGTTTGACTGGATATGAAATTCTGGATTGAAAATTCTTTTCTTTAAGAATGTTGAATATTAGCCCCCACTCTCTTCTGGCTTATAGGGATTTTGCAGAGAGATCTGCTGTTAGTCTGATAGTCTTCCCTTTGTGGGTAACCCAACTTTTCTTGTAAAGACCATCAACACTATAAAGAAACCACATCAACTAACGGGCAAAATAACCAGCTAGCATCATAATGACAGGATCAAATTTACACATAACAATATCAACCTTAAATGTAAATGGGCTAAATGCCCCAATAAAAGACGGACTGGCAAACTGGATAAAGAGTCAAGACACATAGGTGTGCTGTATTCAGGAGACCCATCTTATATGCAAAGACACACATAGGCTTAAAATAAAGGGATGGAGGACCAAGCAAATGGAAAGCAAAAAAAAAAAAAAAAAAAAAAAAAAAAAAAAAAAAAGCAGGGGTTGCAATCCTAGTCGCTGATGAAATAGACTTTAAACCAACAAAGATCAAAAAAGACAAAGAAGGCTAATACATAAAGGTAAAGGGATCAATGCAACAAGAAGAGTTAACTATCCTAAATATATACGCACCCAATACAGGAGCACCCAGATTCATAAAGCAAGTTCTTACAGACCTACAAAGAGACTTAGACCCCCCAAACAATAATAGTGGGAGATTTTAACACCCCACTGTCAATATTAGACAGATCAATGAGACAGAAAATTAAAACATATATTCGGGACCTGAGCTCAGCTCTGGACCAAGTGGACCTAATAGACATCTGCAGAACTCTCCACCCCAATTCAACAGAATATACATTCTTCTCAGCACCACATCGCACTTATTCTAAAATTAACCACATAAGTGGAAGTAAAACACTCCTCAGCAAATGCAAAATAATGGAAATCATAACAAACAGTTTCTCAGACCACAGTGCAATCAAATTAGAACTCAGGATTAAGAACTCACTCAAAACTGTACAATTACATGGAAACTGTACAACCTGCTTCTGAATGACTACTGGGTAAATAACGAAATTAAGGCAGAAATAAAGATGTTCTTTGAAACCAATAAGAACAAAGACACAATGTACCAGAATCTCTGGGACACACTTAAAGCAGCATTTAGAGGGAAATTTATAGCACTAAATGCCCACAGGAGAAAGTGGGAAAGATCTAAAATTGACACCCTAGTATCACAATTAAAAGAACTAGAGAAGCAGGAGCAAACAAATTCAAAAGCTAGCAGACGACAAGAAATAACTAAAATCAGAGCAGAACTGAGGGAGATAGAGACACAAAAACCCCTTAAAAAATCAATGAATCCAGGAGCTGTTTTTTTTAAGATAAACGAAATAGATAGACCACTAGCCAGACTAATGAAAAAAAGATAGAAGAATCAAATAGACACAATAAAAAATGATAAAGGAGATATCACCATTGATCCCACAGAAATACAAACTACCATCAGAGAATACTATAAACACCTCTATGCAAATAAACTAGAAAATCTAGAAGAAATGAATAAATTCCTGGACACATACACCTTCCCAAGACTAAACCAGGAAGAAGTTGAATCCTTAAATAGACCAATAACAAGTTCTGAAATTGAGGCAATAATTAATAGCCTACCAACGAAAAAAAACCCAGGACCAGACAGTTGGTAGAATTCACAGCTGAATTCTATCAGAGATACAAAGAGGAGCTGGTACCATTCCTTCTACAATTGTTCTAAACAATAGAAAAGGAGGGACTCCTCCCTAACTCATGTTATGAGACTAGCATCATCCTAATACCAAATCCTGGCAGAAACACAACAAAAAAAGAAAATTTCAGGCCAATATCCCTGATTAACATCAATGTGAAATTCCTCAATAAAATACTGGCAAACCAAATCTAGCAGCACATCAAAAAGCTTATTCACCATGGTCAAGTCAGCTTCATCCCTGGGATGCAAGGCTGGCTCAAAATATGCAAATCAATAAAAATAATCCATCACATAAACAGAACCAATGACAAAAACCACATGATTATCTCAATAGATGCAGAAAAAGCCTTCAATAAAATTCAACACCCCTTCATGCTAAAAACTCTCAATAAATTAGGTATTGATGCAACGTATCTCAATAATAAGAACTATTTATGACAAACCCACAGTCAATATCATACTGAATGGGCAAAAGCTGGAAGCATTTCCTTTGAAAACTGGCACAAGACAAAGATGTCCTCTCTCACCACTCCTATTCAACATAGAATTGGAAGTTCTGGCCATGGCAATCAGGCAAGAGAAAGAAATAAAGAGTATTCAAATAGGAAGAGAGGAAGTCAAATTATCTCTGTTTGCAGATGACATGATTGTATATTTATAAAACCCCATCGTCTCAGCCCCAAATCTCCTTAGGCTGATAAGCAACTTCAGCAAAGTCTCAGAATACAAAATCAATGTGTAAAAATCACAAGCATTCCTATACACCATAATAGACAAACAGAGAACCAAATTATATGTGAACTCCCATTCATAATTGTTACAAAGATAGTGAAATACTTAGAAATACAACTTACAAGGGATGTGAAGGACCTCTTCAAGGGGAACTGCTCAAGGAAATAAGAGAGGACACAAACAAATGGAAAAACATTCCATGCTCATGTATAAGAAGAATCAATATCATGAAAATGGCAATACTGCCAAAAGTAATTTATAGATTCATTGCTATCCTTATCAAGCTACCACTGACTTTCTTCAGAGAATTAGAAAAAACTACCTTAAATTTCTTATGGAGGCAAAAAAGAGCCCATGTAGCCAATACAATCCTAAGCACAAAGAAGAAAGCCGGAGGTTTTATGCTACCTGACTTCAAACTATACTACAAGGCTACAGTAACCAAAACAGCATGTTACTGGTACCAATACAGATATATAGACCAATGTAACAGAACAAAGGCCTCAGAAATAATACCACCCATCTACAACCATCTGATCTTTGACCAACCTGACAAAAGCAAGCAATGAGGAAAGGATTCCCTATTTAATAAATGGTGTTGGGAAAACTGGCCTGCCATATGCAGAAAACTGATACTGGACCGCTTCCTTATACATTATACAAAAATTAACTCAATATGGATTAAAGACTTAAATGTAAGACCTAAAACCATAAAATCCCTCAAAGAAAACCTAGGCAATACCATTCAGGACATAGGGATGGGCAAAGGCTTCATGACTAAAACACCAAAAGCAATGGCAACAAAAGCCAAAATTGACAAATGGGATCTAATTAAACTAAAAGCTTCCGCACAGCAAAAGAAACTATCATCGTAGTGAACAAGCAACCTAGAGAATGGGAGAAAATTTTTGCAATCTATCCAACTGACAAAGAGCTAATGTCCAAAATCTACAAGGAACTTAAACAAATTTACAAGAAAAAAATCAAAAAGCGGGCAAAGGGTATGAACAGACACTTCTCAAAAGAAGAGATTTATGTAGCCAACAAACCTATGGAAAAAAGCTCATAATCACTGGTCATTAGAGAAATTAAAACCCAAACCACAATGAGATACCATCTCACTCCAGTTAGAATGAAGATCATTAAAAAGTCAGGAACCAACAGATGCTGGAGAGGATGTGAAGAAATAGGAACGCTTTTACACTGTTGGTGGGAGTGCAAATTAGTTCAACCATTGTGGAAGACAATGTGATGATTCCTCAAGGATCTAGAACCAGAAATACCAACTGACCCAGCAATCCTATTACTGGGTATATACCCAAAAGATTATAAATCATTCTCCTATGAGGACACATGCACACGTATGTTCATTGCAGCACTATTCACAATAGCAAAGACTTGGAACCAACACAAATGCCCATCAGTAATACACTGGATAAAGGAAATGTAGCACATATACACCATGGAATACTATGCAGCCATAAAAAGATGAGTTCATGTCCTTTGCAGGCACATGGATAAAGCTGGAAACCATCATTCTCAGCAAACTAACACAGGAACAGAAAACCAAACACCGCATGTTCTCACTCATAAGTGGGATTTGAACAATTAGAGCACATGGACACAGGGAGGGGAACATCACACACCAGGGCCTGTCATGGGATTGGGGGCTAGGGGAGGGATAGCATGAGGAAAAATACCTAATGTAGAAGATGGGTCAAGGGGTAGAGCAAACCATCATGGCATGTGTATACCTAAGTAACAAACCTGCACTTTCTGAACATGTATACCAGAACACAAAGTATAATATATATATAGACTGTTATAATTTAATAATAAAATGTTTTTCTTTCAGTAGAAAAACAGCAAAGATTCTTAAAATAGAATAACCAAAGAAACACAGTCAATTAATCGAATGCTAATATTAACATCATTGACTTTATCTTTTAATTACATACCAAGATGTTAAGAAAACTAATGATATTTTGTAATATTATGCAGTGTTGGTAAAGTTGTGGAGAAACAAATGCTCTTAAGCCTGCTGGCTAGATTATAAATTTGCAGAAATTTTTCGGGAGGGCAATTTGTTAGTTTACATGGAAAGCTGCAAATTGATTATAGCTTTTGACATTGAAAACAATCAGTCGTCTGTCAACGAACACACAATACTCACAAAAATATGTAAGCAAGTTAGTAAATAAAAGTAGCAAAATATTAATAGGAACTGTCCTGAATACCAGTAGAATAAATGGTATTTATTTTTCCTTAAATATTTCTGCATACTAAAAGTCTCTTAAATAAGCATATATATTTTTGAATAATTAGAAAACGTCGAAAGTGTTAAACTCAATGAAATTTATCATTGTACCCAAATTATTTAAATGTAATAAATTCATATGTAAATCTTGATTTTGACTGTTCCATCTGGAAATAAGGATAGAATGGAAATTTGGACTCTACATTGTATGAGTTGGGTTTCTGAAGATGTTGAAACTTAGGATCACCTGGATGCCTCAAAGGACTGCTTTTCCTAATGTTATAGAGGAAGATTAACTATATAAGCATTATAATTCCACCTTTAGAGATGTGAATGAAGATTTTTGAATGTAGGCTTGACATGCAGTTTATTTGATTGGCTTTCATTTGAGATCTTGAATATTATCTAGAGTATTATCTGTCTCAAGTTTAAATAGAGTAAGTTTATTCCCCAAAATAATAGGTTTATTAAGTTCTTTGATGTGCTAATTTAGGTTTCAATATGAAGACGGGAGGAAATGTGTTTACCTTATACATATTTAAAATTATTTATTTATAAGAAATTCTTCTTCTACAGGGCACTCTAATACTTTTGATCATTATAGGCACAATCTACTAGAAATGATTTAAGATTAAATATAATAAGTTATTGGTCTTGTCTGACCATTGGCCAGGATTTCAGATTTAGTGTATTAGTGAAATTTAAAATATTTTTGGTTGTGTGTGTGTGTATGTGTATGTGTATGTCTGGAGATTTTAACAGATTAAATGACAATTTCTAATATGTTTTATACTGCCTTAAAACAACATACTTTAATAGTCCAATATGTTTAATAACTTGTTTGCATGTTTTTCCAGTATAGAATATTCTCATTTAATTCTCAGCATAGGCCTATGAGTTAAGTTGTTACTATTCTTAGTTTACAAACACGGACAATGAGACATTGTAGGTTAAATACCATTTCAAATATCTTGCAGTAAATGAGATCTTAACCAGGTCTGACTCCATAACCCATGCTTCTACTTATCCCAAGGTACTACCTTACATATATTGGCATAATTTTAACAGTGGAATTAGCTTAAGTGGAGTAAGGAGATGATAAGTGCACTCCAAAGAGAAGAAAAAGCATTCCCCAAGGCAGAATGGTGGGAATGCAAACTGGAAGCAATGACACATTGTTTAAGAAACTTGAAGTATTGGACATGTGTATGATTTCAGGTGGAGAGATGGGCAGGAGTGTAAGGCGTTAGAAGGAGGCTCTTGTATGTCATGGCAAGCCACTGGATTAACAGATACATATTCTATGTATTTACTTAATTTTTTATCCACCAAATATATAAAAATTGAGTAAATTTCAATAATCTACAATATTATGCTTCTCTTTGTGTGGCCTAAGATGTATGCTTTTATTGATGCTATACTATTGGTAGAATATGATTGATGGGGTTTTGTAATCATAATTAAATGGTGTTTTTATCTGCTTTGCCATTTTTCTCTTGATTTGGGCCTTGTCTGAAATTAATATAACCATTCCAGCTTTTTTTGTTTAACATTTGCCCAATAAGCTACTTAACTTCCTTCCCACCTATCCAAGTCCTATTTAATATTTTCCCCTTAGAGTTTCACTTGGAGAACTACATACTGAATGGTGTTATACCTGCTTTTCTTTCCCTAGAAAGTACGCGATGGGAGTTTTAGGAGATCATGAAGAAGGACATAACTTAGCTGGTTTTTGAACAGACATAAATGGTGAACTTGGCCTCTGCTTTTTCTTCTGTAACTATTCTAAAATGCCTGTAGTCAGAGGAGTAGTCTATTCCTGAAAAGGATAAGATAAAGTTTTGGATGATTTTCTGTTAGCATTGCAATACAATTAGAAAGTAATAATTAAAAATAACTTTAAAAATCCAGAACAATATATTATCTATCGATCTATCTATCTATCTATCTATCTATCTATCTATCTATCTATTTATCTATAATCTATTGATACCCTAATTCTCATTGGCCATTAAAACAAAAGGACAACCTGGAAATAAAAGTAATGAAAGTACCCCACAATTAAAGTCCAAGAGCCATAGCTAAATCTGTGCGCATGGAAAAACATCTCAAAGTTTCAAACAAATTATTTTAACTAGGAAGAAAAAAAAGAATTAAAAAAATACTTTATAAACATTGGAAGAAGAACTAAATATTTCAGTTTGATTACAAGTTGATTTTAAGAGACCACACACATTTCATATATTCTAATAAATGGCTGGCATATGTAATCAAGGATACGTACTTAAAAGGCTGAAACTGGTCATGGAGAATACATACAGGTGTAGCTTATCTTGGTCTCTATTTTCCTTTGTTGTTGGTTTTCCTACAAGGCATGAGGCTATTGAAAACACTGTCTACACATGTAGGACTCTAAAAGCGTTAAGAAAAATCTGTGAAATTTAGTCTTTTGTATTCAGGCTCTGTACATCAATATTCTTATGCTACCAATGTAAGTGCTTCTCTTCAATGATCTGTTTACAAACATTAAGCTCTCCTGATTCTTGCATCATACTTAGCACCACCAAGATCCTATTTTTATAGGGTGGGAGTTAGGAAGGTAATCTATGCCCAGATGTCCCTAACCATCAGTCCATCTCCAGCTCTCCAGTGGTCCAGCAAGCTTGGATTCCTACATCAAAAACAAGGAAAGAAGAAAGTAAAGGAACTATTGATAATTTAGAAGACAGGGTCAGGCACAGTGGCTCATGACTGTAATCCCAGCTCTGTGGGAGGGAAGGCAGGCAGATCACCTGAGGTCAGGAATTGGAGACCAGACTGGCCAACATGGTGAAAACCTGTCTCTACTAAAAACACAAAAATTAGCTGGTGTGGTGGCACGCACCTGTAATCCCAGCTACTTGGGAGGCTGAGGCAGGAGAATTACTTGAGCCCTGGAGGTGGAGGTTGGAGTGAGCTGAGATTGTGCCACTGCACTCCAGCCTGGGTGACAGAGTGAGACTCTGTCTCAAAAAAAAAAAAAAAAAAAGACAGAAAAATGATATATAAACATAAGATCTAATAGTTTTAATGAACTATATATATATGTGTACACACACACACATATATATATATATCTATCTCACTAATTTACTCAAGTGTATAAAAAGGGAGAAAACAAAACACCACACACATACATACTTAAATACAGAAATTGAACAAGACAACTTCAAAAAAACCTCCGTACTCTACTATTCACTCTTTAAAAGAAAGAAAGCCTTACATGGTTTTCAAACACCAATTTTGCCATTTCCTAGAGGTCTTATTTTGGGGCCTCTGTTTTGAATTTGGAAATACCTGTCTGATGAACAAGAATTTCTGGCTATTCTTTCTTATTCATAATTTTGCATATTGCAGTCAACAAGTATTGATTTTTTTAAAAAGTCTTTCTTTCGGCAGTACATTTTCCCTTTGGATCTTTCTTCTCCTAAAAACTCAGAGGAAAAATTACCCAATTTTCTATTTTTTTCATTATGAAAATAAGGAAATTGTCCCTTTTCACTTTACCTGCTCAATTGTATTAAAACTCAGCTAGAATTCATCTTGTCGTGTAAAGAAATAAGATATTCCAGCATTTTCCTTGAGGAGAATAGAAAAGAATCTTTGTAAATGTGGAGAACAAGGAATATAAGGGAAAAAGAATATGGATAAATAGACAATCATTTTGATCAATTATAAGCTGTGAGTGAAATTAATTATAAGCCCATTAAAAATTACAGTAATTTAAAGCCACATGATGAATCTATGATATTTTACACTTTTTTTTTGGCAAATGTACATATGTTCCAGCACAAATAGTTCAGAGTACAAAGGCTGAACTTCCACGAAAATGTTGATTTTGCCGTAATTTATCCTTAGTATTTTCTTTAATTCCTTTTCTGTGCTCTTTCCCAGAGTTACCTTTCTCTTTACATAACTTCTTTGACCACTCAGTGCCCTCTGAAAATACTGGAGATAATGTGTAAGAATTACTCTAATAATTATGCTCTTTATCTGAAGCCTTTTTGGGTGAAAGAGATATAAGTCCATTCTGGTTTGCACAAATAAAGAAGGGTGGATTTGATGTAAGGATATGGAGATGTCACTGAACAAATTATATGCAGGTAGGCTTCACACAAATTATAGCTGAAACCTGATAAGCTGTCAAATACCAAGGCAGACAGACTTCCCATGTTGCTCTCACCTTTTTTAGAACCTCTGTCTCTTTACATCTGCTTCACTCCCCTTATCTGAATTGGCTTCTTTTCCTTAGTTATCTAAATATACTAGATGTTTGGAAATCTTAGTGTCAACATAGCCTTTCACCTTAAGCACCTTCCAATCACTAAGTACAGTTAAGATATATCTAATTTCTTTTTTGAGAAAGATACTATCATTGATCCTTGATTAGGCAACGGATTGCCAAGTTTTGGATTAAATGTGCATTACTAGGCCAATCAGCTATTTCCAGGATATGACATTCTGTAGTTATGTTACACTGTCCCTCTCAGGAATTATGGGAAGTGAAGGAACATCCATAATATTACAAAGACATACAGAAGCACTAGGAATGTGACTGGTCAAGAAATCAGATGGTTTTAAGAAGAAAACTGTTTTTAAAACCCTTAAATCACACGTTATTTTTGCATAAAGCCAGTGTCTATCCGAAGAAAGTTTTTAATAATATCTTCAGAATTTTTGCCTGATATCCTCATACTTTTAAGCCAGGTTTATTCATTTTCTGAACTCAGTTTTTTTTATTATTCATTAAAATAATTCATTAAAATTTATTTAAATCAATTGCCCATAATCCTTTGTGCTTGGCCCCCAACCCTACTTGTGTTCTGTTTTTACTTTCTGTTTGGCTTCTGGCCCTTAAATTTGTTATATCAGTATAGTTGCAGCTGGCAAGCAGGCTGATTTCAGTGTCTCTGGCTGGACCCTAAGTACTCTCTAAGAATATGCTCTTCTTGAAGGTGCTTTAAGTAGATTAACTAGCATTAGTTCAGTCCTGCAATCCAAATTCTAGAACTCATTACCTGGCAAGAATTTTTGACCCTTTCAAGATTTTATAGGGAAGCTGCCTTATAGAATGCTCCAGTTTTATTCTAAGAAGAGTTAATAGTTTTTTACTTGCAGAAACGTGTTTTTTTATAACTTTATTGATGATGTCTAAAAAGTAGGAAATATTGTTTTCAGATTTATTTTCTGACACATATAGATGAAAACCAAATCAGCATTTAGACAGGTAGGAAGAAAATGGCACTATTAAAGTGAAAAATCTGGGTCAGGAAAATCATCTGGTTGGAAGGTCATCTTAAGTAGAATGACATCTTTACAGGCTAATGACATCACGTACTTGCACACACAAATTCTTTGTGTTCATATTTTTGACATTTTATCTTGGCTAGCTTTGAGACCTATGTGAAACTCTGGTTTGAAATGCAGAAAAATCACTCACTTTAAGAATGCTTTCAGGCTTCTTTATAAATGTATCATTAGTCTTTCTATCCAAGGAGGGGTTAAGAATAAATCTGAGTCTCTTAATGGCAATACCCAAGCGCTGATGTTCTTTCTCTCCTGCCTAAGATCTATGCCCTGACACAGGGTATTGTGTCTAATCCTTATCCTGGCACAGTGAGCAGTTATTCAGTTTGTACAGCAGCCTGAGTGAATCACTTTATCAGCTTTCAAAGTCAGAGTTATGAACAGAATAGCTTAAGGAAGCTTCAGTCTTCAGCCATCCTTGCATAAAATTACTTAAACTGGATTTAAAGGGCAATATTTCAGTTTTGATGTGAGCAACGGAGATGTATCTTAAAGTGGCCCCCCATTACAACTGCACAAGGAACTTTGCTAAAATGTGTTGGATATGATTAGTAACACTCTGATGTGTTGGGATTGGTTGTGAGGCATACCGAGTAATTTATTACAAATAAAAGTTAAAATAGTAAAGTTCGAGAAATACATATTTTTAATAGACTGGATTAAAGGCTCACATTTTAATAATTTTACTTGAATTTTCTTCAGCTTCTAGATAAGCTCTCTTGACTAAAAGAGAAAAAAAGGATTGTAGGTTAGAATTAATGGGCCAGAAATTAAGTATGGCCTTGTGTACCTTTCTCTCTCATATTAAATTATACACCTATTTTATGTGTCTTAGGGTAAGGGTAAAATTCTTGGAATAGATGATCCTCTACTGAAATGCCAAGTTTCTAACAACACATCTACTAACTTCTCATATCTCAATAACTCACCTATTCTCCATTCAAAAGGCTATTAAGAACAAGTAAACAACAACCATAGCAACTGATATGGTTTGGAGCTGTGGTCCGACAGACATCTCTTGTCAAATTGTAATCCCTAGTGTTGGAGGTGGGGTTTTGTGGAAGGTGACTGAATTATGGGAACGGATTTCCTCTTAGGTGCTACTGTCATGACAGTGACTGGGTTAGCATGAGATTTGGTTGTTTAAAAGTGTGTAGCACCTCTCCCTCTATTTCTTGCTCTTCACCTTCTGCCATGATTGAAAGTTTCCTGAGGCCTCCCTAGAAGCTACTATGCTTCCTATAAAGCCTGTAGAACTGTGAGCCAATTAAATCTCTTTTCATTTTAAATTACTCAGTTTCATGTATTTATTTTTAGCAGTGCAAGAATAAACTAATACAGAAAATTGGTACCAAGGAGAAGGGTATTGCTATAAAGATTAAAAAAATGTGGAAGCAGCTTTGGGACTGGGTAATGGGCAGAGGTTGGAAGAGTTTGGAGAACTTAGAAGAAGACAGGAAGACAAGGGAAAGTATGGAACTTCCTAGAGACTTGTTGAATGGTTGTCACCAAAATGCTGATAGTAATATGGACAGTGAAGTTCAGGCTGAGGAGGTCTCAGATGGAAATGAAGAACTTATTGGGAACTGAAGTAAAGGCACTTTTGCTATGCTTTAGCAAAGAGACTGTCAGCATTGTGCACCTGTTCTAGGGATATGTGGAACTTTGAACTTGAGAGAGATGATTTAAGGTATCTGGCAGAAGAAATTTGTAAGTAAAGTGTTCAAGATGTGGCTTGGCTGTTTCTAAAAGCCCATGCTCATATGCAGGAACACAGAAATTATCTGAAACTGAAACTTATATCTAAAAGGCACACAGAGTGTAAAAGTTTGGAAATTTGCAGCCTGGCCATGTCATAGAAAAGAAAAATCCATTTTTCAGGGGAGGAATTCAAGCAGGCTGTAGAAGTTTGCAAAAGCAAATAGAAGTCAATTGCTAATAATCAGATAATGAGAAACAGGCCTAAGAGGCACTTCAGAGACCTCTTCAACAGCCTCTCCCATCACAGGCCTGAGGCCTAGAAGGGAAGAATGGTTTCATAGGCCAAGCCCAGGGCCCCACTGTCATGCACAGCCTGGGACACTGCTCCCTGCATTCCAGCCACTTCAGCTCCAACTATGGCTAAAAGGGCCACTGCTTCAGAGGGTAAAAGCCATAAGCCTTGGCAACTTCCACATGGTATTAAGTCTATTGGTACACAGTTGCAAGGGTTGAGGCTTGGGAGCCTCTGCCTAGATTTCAGAGGATGCATGAAAATGCTTGGTTGTCCAGGCAGAAGCCTGCTGCAGGGCTGGAACCCTCATGGAGAACTCTTACTAGGCAGTGAGAAGGGAAAATATGGGGTTGGAGCCCCCATGTAGAGTTCTTACTGGGATACTGGAGCTGTGAGAAGAGGGTCACCATCCTCCAGAAACCAGAATGGTAGAGCCACTGACAGCTTGCACCATGTGCCTGAAAGGGATGCAGACACTCAACACCATCAGCTGTGGGGGCAGAACCCTGCAAAATCACAGCGGTGAAGCTACTCAAGACCTCAGGAGCCTACCCCTTGCATCAGTGTATCCTGGATGTGAGACATGGAATCAAAGGAGATTATTTGGAGCTTTAAGATTTAATGACTTCCCTGATGGGTTTTGAACATGCATGGGGCCTGTAGCCACTTTCTTTTAGCTGATCTCCTCATTTTGGAATGGGAATATTTACTCAATTGCTATAGCTCCATTGTATCTTGGAAGTAACTTACTTGTTTTTGATTTTATGGGCTCATAGCTGGAAGGGATTAGCCTTGTCTCAGGTGAGACTTTGGACTTTTGAGTTAATGTTAGAATGAGTTAAAACTTTGGGGGACAGTTGGGAAGACATGATTGTGTGTTGCAATGTGAGAAGGCCGTGAGATTTTGAGGGGGCCAAGGGTAGAATAATATGATTTTGTTCTGTGTCCCATCCCAAATCTCATGTTAAATTATAATCCCCATTTGGAGGTGGGGCTTGGTGGGAGGTTATTGGATTATGAGGAAGGATTTTCCCCCTCAGTGCTGCTCTTGTTACAAGGAGTGAGTGCTTACAAGATCTGGTTTTTAAAAGTGTATAGCACCTCACCCTTATCTCTCTTCCTCCTGCACTGGCCATGTAAGACACACTTGCTCCCCCTTTGCCTTCTGCCAGGGTTGAGAGTTTCCTGATGCTTCCCCAGAATCCACTATGCTTCCTACACAGCCTGCAGAACCATGAGCCAATTAAACCTCTTTTCTTTATAAATTGCCCAGTCTCAGATATTTCTTTATAGAGGGTGAGAATGGACTAATGCAGCAACCAAATGCTTTAAGCCCCTATGAAAACTTAAAAACACATGTAAATCAGTAAAGAAAATCAATCTACTTTTCAATCATTTACTTTCCCCTGAGTTGCTGTGAAGATGCTATAATCTCTTCTCATAGAAAGACAAGTGAGAGAGTAAGTACACTAATTAACATGACAAATTGAGAATTTCATTTTGTTTTACATCCTTATCTGCTGTTTTCTAAGTTACTACTATTTTACCTTGATATCATTTATAAATAACATGTTTAAGATTGTTTCTAAAAAGTCATTAATTATCATGTTCTCATTAAAAATTCCAGTGCTATTATATTATTGATATGTCCAGTTTCTTTCTGTTATACTGGTGAATTCAAAGTAGGTATTATTGTTTTACAGGTTTCTAATTTATAAATGCACTAATTATCATTAAATAAAACTGAATGTTATTGCATAAAGTGAATAAAAATTTTAAAAATATCATCAAAACAGGTCTATAGCCATGACAAGTACCTCAAATTCAGGTGATTCTAAAAATTCTTTCAAATAATGAATATTAGTGACCCCCCCCACTTTTACTCTCCTGACTTGAGTACAAGCACTATTTTATAATTACATAAATAAAAACTCAATGTTTTTTTCTTTATTTTTTTAAAAAAAGAATGCTGGAAAATACCCCCTTTAAAAGAGCAAAACAAGAAGTTATTAAACTCTTAACATTTCAGGTTAAACTTAACATTGTTTCTGCACAGAGAATGTAGAGAATGACAGGTTTTGTTTAAATTTAGGTGCTTTTTTTCTTTTCTCACAAAGGTCACAACCGTATAAGTAATACACGTTAAGTCTGATTAAAAACACCATCAGAGAATAGAGTATTCTCAAGAAACTTGAAGAGATTAGCCAAACTGAGTAATTGCATTATTGTCCACAGATGGCTCTTGCATATTCAGAAAAACCTTCTAGGTTTTTACAGGCATTAACTATGCTGATAAGTGTGATTATTTTAGAGTCCTTAAAGATCCAGTTCTCATAACAATTTTTGGATGATATCAACATAAGTGATTAGAAAGTTTTGGCAACCCTTCCTTAAAGCCTTCCAGGAAGGGAACTCCCACTTTTCATAAATAACAATATTTTATACTGATATTTTACACTGAATGTAAACCCTTAAATGGTAGGTTAAGTTAATTTTCTTCCTTACATGATCAAAGGAGATGGAGAACAGCTGGTTACATTTTGGTTACCAGGTAAATCATAATGCATGATCTAGGAATTCCAAGTTTCTCAATACTTCACATTATTTTCAGGCACCTTCAGATATATGGAGAAATTACCGAATTTTTTTTAGACTGAGTCTTGCTCTGTCACCCAGGCTGGAGTGCAGTGGCGTGATCTCAGCTCACTGCAACCTCCTCCTCCTGGGTTCAAGTGATTCTCTTGCCTCAGCCTCCTGAGAAGCTGGGATTACAGGCATGCGCCACCACACCCAGCTAATTTTTGTATTTTTAGTAGAGACAGGGTTTCACCATGTTGGTCAGGCTGGTCTCAAACTCCTGAGCTTGTGATCTGCCCGCCTCATCCTCCCGAAGTGCTGGGATTACAGGCGGAATTACCTACTTTTTAATTGCTTAAAATGCTCACTAAAGTACAATATGTGCTAGTATTTTTTTGCAACACATTATTTATAATTGAGAACAAACATCTAAAACTTAAAGAACTTATTAGGAATAATCATATTGGGTACAATGATCACATTTTCCAAACTTGGTTGGCTTTGGTGGATATATATTTAAAAATCATGGGGACCTAATAGTTGGTAGCTAATTCCAGGCTTCAAATACACACACACACACACACACACACACACACACACACACACAGAGAGAGAGAGAGAGAAAACTGACACAAAAAATTTATAGAAATATATTTACCTATGCTATGTGATATTTTTATTGCATTTTGTTAAAAATGCTTTTTATAACCCACTAAATTAATTTCACACCACATCAATGAGCGCAACCTGAAACCAGAAAAACAAACAAACAAGTGAACAAAAATCCCAAAAGCAATGCTGAGCTAGAAAGGGAGGGAGGTAGATGTGGGCGTGAATATTTATAAAATAATATTATAGCTGCTAAGAAATGTACAAAGTACAAGGAGAAGCAGATGGACAGATTTTTATTTAGGGTGGAAATGTCAAGAAGATTTGCCAAAAACGATGACATGTACTGAGTCTTAATACATAAATAAGAACCAATAATGGTGGGTAATACGGTTTGGCTCTGTTTGCCCACCCAAATCTCATCTCAAATTATAATTCCCATAATCCCCACGTATCCAGGGAGAAAAACGGGTGGGAGATGATTGGATCATGGGAGTGGTTTCACCCATACTCTTCTCCTGACGGTGAATGAGTTCTCACAAGATCTGATTGTTTTATAAGTCAGTTTTCCTTGCTGTTGCTTGCTCTCTCTCTCCTGCTGCCATGTAATATGTGCCCACTTTCCCTTCTACCATAATTGTAAGTTTCCCTAGGCCTCCTCAGCCATGCAGAACTGTGAGTCAATTAAACCTCTTTTTTTTTTTTTAATAAATCACCCAGTCTCAGGTGAGTCTTTATAGCAGTGTGAGAATGGACTAATATAGTGGGGATAAGAATGTGGGTAAGTAAAGAAAGAGGTAGAAACAAGTAAGACAGTAGAGAAAAGACGAGTCTTGAGCAGCATCTGGAAGACCAAACAGTTTTCCTAAAAGGCAGTGGTTATAGATTATAAAAAGTCTCATATATCATGCTGAGGAGCTTGGTCTTCATTTCCTAACAAATGGAAATATATAGAATATACACAATGGTTATTACTGTGGACTTTGGGGTCAAATTTCCTAGATTGAAATGCTGGCTTCAATATCTACTAGTTATGTGCCTTTACAGAAGTTACTTCTCCTTTCTGTGTCACAGTTTTCTCATGTATAAATAGGGATGATAAGACTATTTACAGAGTTGCGAAAATGAAATGAATTGATACAGTTACAATTTTGTTTTAGACATAAAAAGCCACACTAAATATTAGTTGGTCTTTATCTGATTATTATATTAGAATTCTATGAAAGAATGTGAAAGATAGGGGATTATTGCTGGCTGACATGTAATACCTGTGTAAAACAGGATTGGCAAACTATGGCCTGAGGGCCAAACCTGGCTGATGCTTTTTTTCTTGTGGTCTGCAAGCTAAGCATGTTTTTAATATATTTTGAAGTGTTGTACAAAGCAGGTGATGAAGAGAATATGCAATAGAAACTGTATACGGCCCATAAAGTCTAAAATATTTACTATCTAGGCCTTTAAGAAAAAGTTTTCTGACCTCTGTTATAGATGAATCTCTGTGTAATCAAAATGATAAGATATGTGAAAATAATTATACAAATAAATACAAATAACTCCCAATCTCCCAAACCCCCAAATTTTTCCTTTTTCCTCTATTTTACAGGTGTAGTGTCCACTGTGGTTTGATGCCTAGATTCCTATTCCAGAATAATGACTTTATTACATAGCAGTGGAGAGTTGAATGCTGATAGCTCATAGTTGGATACCTCTCCAGAAATTACCCTCAGCAATAGGGAGTAGCCTCACCCAAGGTGAATTTTCACTATAGGACTAGTCAGAATTCAATCAATCGTTTATGTAGGGGAACAAAATATGACTCCTTTACTCCAACAGGAAACTTTGAAAGATAATCCAAGTTCCAGAGCTCCCTTTGAGAACTTTATTGCAGCTGTATCACACTTTAATCCCTTTCCCTACTCAATCTGCTTCTTCACTTCTATAGGTGTTGTCCCTGAAAACATTTTTCTAAGAACTTCTTACCTGTGAATCTCATCAAAGAATTTGTTTCTTGGGTAACCCAAACTAAGACTGTGGGTATTAATGGTAGTTCAAGAAAATAGATTTTTTTTTTTAAGAGGGGGAATCTCGCTCTGTCGCCGAGGCTGTAGTGCAATGGAGTGATCTCGGCTCACTGCAACCCCTACCTCCTGGGTTCAAGCGATTCTTCTGCCTCATCCTCCTGAGTAGCTGGTACTACAGGCGTGTGCACCCGCGCCCAGCTAATTATTGTATTTTTAGTAGAGACAGAGTTTCACCATATTGACCAGGCTGGTCTCTAACTCCTGACCTCATGATCCACTCATCTCCGCCTCCCAAAGTGCTGGGATTATAGGCCTGAGCCACCGTGCCAGGCCAAGAAAACAGATTTTAAATTAAAATCTTAAAGCTGGATTATGTATCCCCCCGACCAGCTGGCAATGAAGCTAACATCAATGACAGTATGTATGATACTGATAGTCCTTAGCTTGCTATACTAGTATATACAACTGGCAAAATTTTCTTTGCGTTGAACTTGGTGGAATACCTTTGTAAAGGAATGCACTAGTTCGTGCAATATCTCAGGTGTTTGAAAGGGTTGAGAAAATCAAGGTGATGTACAGGCCCAAGAACATGGGTTTCTGACATCAAGGCTGATCCTCCTATTACAGCTACTAAATGCTCAAGCGGACAATGAAAGAGATTAACACTGGGTTCCAGTACGGTGCCATCCTTTGAGGAGACCAACCAGTTACCTGGAGGTAAGTTAATTACCTTGGACATTTTCTATCTTGGAAAGCAAAGCCATTCATCATAACTGGAATTGACATGTATTCTGAGTATGAGTTTGCCTTTGGTCTTCAGTCTCTCAGCCAGTACCATGAACTGACAGTTTATAGTATTTTTTAATCTCCCAATGCATAACCTCATATTGAATTTGAATTAGAGTGGAAACCCACTGTAAATGAGAGGAAAGTACAGCAATATACACTATTAGGTAACACACCTCCCAAAACTTGCTCACCTAGCATAGAAACAGAATAGCCTTATGAAGATTTAGCTGAGGGGTCAGTTTGGAAAAGACTCCATCCAAGGATACCATACCGTTCTCTGAGATTCAATGTATATCCAAGAAGATAATTATATGATGTTGTATTCCAACAGGTAGAATACATGAGTCTGGAACTCAGGCTGAAAGTAGAAGTGACACGCTTATGATTGCTTCTAGTGACTCCTGGGGAAATTGTGCTTTCCAAATCTACAACTCTGGGTTGTGTCTGTATAGAGCCCCTGGTTCCCAGGGTGGGAACACTTCTACAAGGGAACATAGCAAGTGTCTCACTAAATGATAAGTTCTCATTGTTTCCCAGTCACTTTAGACTACTTGTGGTAGGAGAACAGCAAGCAAGAAAGTGAGTTATCATCCTGGCAGAAGTTATCAACCCTGTTCATACTGTGTGCTGTTGTGCCTCAAGGACAGGGAAAAACATGTTTGGCATACAGGGATTACCAGTGTGCCTCTTGGTACTTTCTTGCCTAATTTGGATGATAAATGACAAGTGTACCAGCCACAGTTTTAAAATATTATGGTAACTGGAGTCTTAGGTTAGCTTAATGGTGGTGTGATTGGTAGAATTATTTTCCCTAAGAAGATTATATACCCTAATCCTTTTGACTATCAATATGATGAAACACCACTATTTTGAATACATTGCCTTACAGAGCAAAATGAATTTATCATTTAATTAAGGTTAATGATTACTTGAATTTAAAATAGATTATTCTGGACTATCCAAGCAGTTCCACTGTAGTCACATAAATCCTGACAAGTAGAAAAGAAGAGAAGATAAATAATTGGGAAATCATGTGGTACACCTGAGTAAGCGTGGGCCTACATTTGAACGTAGGCCTTGCCAGTGACTTGCTCAGTAACTAGCAATATTTGGTTTTCTTTTCTGCCTTAATTTACTAGAACAATGGCTTCCAGTTGCTTCTGTTGATTCACAGAACATAATTTTGTTCTTTTTTATGGCTGTATAGTATTCCCTGGTGTATAGGTACCACATTTTCATTATCCAGTCCACCACTGATGGGCACTTCGGTTGATTCCATGTCTTTGCTATTGTGAATAGTGCTTCAGTGAACATGTGAATACTGGTGTCTTTTTGGTAGAACACTTTGTTTTCTTTAGGATATATACCCACTAATGGGATTGCTGGGTCAAATGGTTGTTCTGTTTTAAGTTGTTTGAGAAAGCTCCATACTGCTTTCCACAGTGGCTGACCTAATGTACAACCCCACCAACACTGTATAAGTGTGTAAGTGTTCCCTTCTCTCTGCACCCTCACCAGCATCTGTTTTTTTTTTTTATTTTTAATAATAGGCATTCTGACTGGTGTGAGATGGTATCACATTGTGGTTTTTCATTTGCATTTCTTTGATGATTAGTGATGACGAGCATTTTTTCATACATTTGTTGGCCACTTATATCTCTTATTTTGGAAGTGTCTGTTTATATTTCTGCCCCATTTTTAATGGGGTTATTTGTTTTCTTGCTTGTTGACTTGCTTAAGTTCTTTATTGATTCTGGATATTTTCTTTCATTCTGTAAGTGTCTGTGTACTCCCTTGATAATTTCTTTTGCTGTGCAGGAGCATTTTAGTTTAATTAAGACCAACTTGCCCTTTTTTTTTTTTTCCTTCAGATGGAGTCCTGCTCTGTTGCCCAGGCTGGAGTGCAATGGCATGATCTTGACTCACTGCAACCTCCGCCGCCCAGGTTCAAGTGATTCTTCTGCCTCAGCCTCCTGAGTAGCTGGGACTACAGGCGCTTACGCCTGGCTAATTTTTGTATTTCTAGTAGAGACGGGGTTTCACCACATTGGTCACTCTGGTCTTAAAACTCCTGACCTCAGGTGCCACCTGCCTCGGCCTCCTGAACAGCTAGGATTACAGGTGTGAGCCACTGTGCCCAGCTCAATTTTTGTTTTTGTGGCAACTGTTTTTAAGGCTGAAAGCAAGCCTTCCCAAAGCTGACAACCAGAGTGGTGTTTTCCAGGATTTCTTCTTGAATTCTTATAGTTTGAGGTTTTACATCTTTAGTTCTTTGAGAGTTAATTTTTGCATATAGTGAAAGGTAGGGGTACAAATTCATTCTTCTGAATATGGCTTTCCAACTATCCCAACACCATTTATTGAATAGGGAGTGCATTCCCCATTGCTTAGTTTTGTTAACTTTGTCAAATATCAGATGACTGTAGGTGTGCAGCTTCATTTCTGTGTTCTTTATTCTGTTGCATTGGTCTATGTGTCTCTTTCTGTACCAGTACCATACTGTTGTGGTTATGACAGCCTTTTAGTATATCTTGAAATTGGGTAATGAGATGCCTTCAGCTTTTTTCCTTTTTGCTTAGGATTGCTTTGGCTATTTGAGCTATTTTTTGGTTTTAAGCTATGTGGGTTTTTTTCTAGTTCTGTGAAAAATGACACTGAAAGTTTGATAGAAATAGCGTTGAATACATGGATTTCTTTGAGGCATATGACCATTTTAACAATATTAATTCTTCAAATCCATGAGCACTGAATGTTTTTCCATTTGTTTGTATCATCTATGATTATTTTTAGCAGTGTTTTATAGTTCTTCTTGTAGAGATTGCTTATCTCCTTGGTTGAATGCATTTCTAGGTATCTTTTTTTGGTCTACTTTAAATGGAATTGCATTCTTGATTTGGCTTTCAGCTTGAAAGTTATTGGTGTACAGACACGAGTTTTGTACATGTATTTTTTTTATCCTGAAACTTAACTGAAGTTGTTTATCAGTTCCAGGAGCCTTTTGACAAACTCTTTAGGGTTTCCTAGGTATAGAATCACATCATCTGAGAAGAGAAATAGTTTGACTTCTTTTTTTCCTATGTGGATGGCTTTTCTTTTTCTTGCCTGGAAAATATTTTATTTCTCCTTCACTTATGAAGATTAATTTGGTTGAATATAAAATGCTCGATGGGAATCTCTCTTTTTTTTAAGAATACTGAAAATAGTTCTACTGGCTTATAAGGTTTCTACTGAGAAGCCTACTGTTAGCCTGATGAGGTTCCCTTTGTACATGATCTGAGTTTTTTTCTGTAGCTTTCTTTAAGATTTTTTCTATAGCATTTACCTTGGACAGTCTGGTAAAGATATGCCTTGGTGATGTTCATTTTGTATAGAGTAATGCAGGTGTTCTCTGGATTTCTTGTACCTAGATGTCTCCCTCTCCAGCAACATTAGGGACACTTTCTTAAACTATTTTCTCAAATATATTTTCCAGGTTCTTTGCTTTTTCTCTTTCTCTCTCTAGAATGCTAATAATTTTAGAGATGGTCACTTTTCACAGTCTTTTATTTCTTGAATACTTTTGTCTGACTTGGTTAATTTGGAAGAGAAAACTTCAAGCTCTGAAATTATTTCTTCTGCCTGGTCCAGTCTACTGATAAAGCTTTCAATTATATTTTGAAGTTTCTTAAGTGAGTTTTTTAATTCCCAAAGCTCTGATTGATTTTTTTTAGGGATGTTTATCTTTTTCTTCATTTCCTGGGTTGCTTTGAAAGTTTCTTTGTGTTGACTTTCAACCTTATACTGAATCTCGTTGAACTTATTTGCAACCATGCCTTGAGTTCTTTAACTTTCATTTCCAAGTTTTCATTTTGATTAGGGTCCATTGCTGGAGAGGTAGTGTGATCCTTTGCTGGTGTCACACATTCTGATTTTTCATGATGCCCAAATTCTTGTGCTAGTTTCTTCTCAACTGGAGAAACTATCACTTCTAATTTTTGTAATTATTTTCTTTCAAATAGGATTTGTTCTTTTTCTCTCTGTCCCTAAAATATTATTATTTTTTCTTTCTTTCCCTTCCTTTCCCACTCCTGCCTAGGAGGTGTGAGTGTAGAGAATCCTGGATATTGTCGTTTGGCTTTGCTTCTATAGCCTTATGCCCTTTTTTGGCAAGTTTTAATTAAGCCGTGCAGTTTGAACTACAAGCTAGTAGGTGGCACTTATAGACAAGAGCCAGCTGCAGCCAATGTGGCTGGGTGTATACTTGATCCTTGTTTTCTCGGAGAAACCTGCTGCCTCTGGCAATGGGTTGATTCATGAAGTGAACAATGATTTCAGCTCCCTGCTCAGCCCTAAGGGTGAGGGGTTGTAGGTCAAGATGAGCGGGCCAGACCTGTCAGTTCTGCTTACAGATCTCCTGATGGCAGGCACCAGCACCAGTGCCAAGGGCAAACACAATGGGCAGACACCAAGCACCCAGAGGTGTGTGTAGACATGGAGCTGGGAAACTTACTTATCGCAAGTTGTCTAAACAAGATTGGAGGGCAGTCTATACTCCTAATCCAGGAGAATGGGTGCTCCAGATGCCCAGAGATCTGTCTGGGCATACAGTGGAGAGGGCTCCTCTGCACCAGGATCTCTGCACAGGAAGGGCAGGGTGGCTTAGGCTGCTGAACCGGGTGCTCCGAATGCCTGGAGATCTACTTGGGTGTGAAGCAGAGAGGGCCACTCTGCAACATGATCTATGCACAGGAAGGGTGGAGAAGCTCAGGCTGCAGAACCAGGTGAGTGGGTGCTCCAAATTCCTGGAGATTGGCCTTGGCATGGAATGGATAGGGCCTGCCCTCCTTCAATCTCAGCCCATGAAGAGTGGGGTGGCTCAGGCTGCTAGCCCATGCAAGTGGGTGCTTCAAATGCCTGAATTTCTGCCTGAGGGTAGAGCAGAGAGGGTCCTGCTTCACCAGGGGAGCAGCCTGGGGCATTCAGCAATGGCACATGCAGACCTGTTGCAGGTCTCCAAACTGCCCCTGGCTATAAGTCTCACCATCCAGAGGATACTGTAGCTGTGGCAGCTCTCCTGTCCCAGGCTTGCAACAAGGAGAGCACAATTCCAGGACTTACTGCTGAGTCACTTTCCATGGTTCTAGCTGTGGAGGCCCCTATGCAACTGCAGAGCAGGTACTCCAATCTCTGGCCTAAGACTAACATGCCTGTACAGTAAAGCTGCCCAGTTGCCAAGGAAAGGCAATGTTTTTAAGTCAAGTCTCTCCCCAAGTTAGCTACAGGACTTGGGCGAAACAAAGTACTTTCCCGCAGCCTGGGTTGCTTGAATCCCTAGTGGAATGGAAAGGTCAGTCATAGAGGGAGGCTGGCTGGCTGCCTCTCTTACATACTGGGCCTCACTCACCTTTATCAGCTGGATGCTGTCACAGGGGCTGTTTTCCAGTGTTCTCCTCCCTGGGATCTGGGGTGTCACAATTCTGGTGGATTTTCCTTCTTGAATTAAGCTCACAAAACTGATTTTTATGCACTATCTTGTTATTTTCATTTAGCTGACATGCATTGAAAGCCTCTAATATGCCATCTTTTAAACAAAAAGAAAACATAAAAGTTTCATGAACTGAAAAAGTGTGCACCCTCTCCCCTCAGCCTCACCTTCACTGTAGTTGTATTGTGGGTAATGGGTAGATCTAGGTAGAAGTACTTGTCTTCCCAGCATGTAGTTCTCTCTCTGCACCTGCTCTTCTGTTTCTCTTCACTCCCAAACGCAAATGATTTCCCCTATGGTGACTGTTTCCAGAATGAGCCAAACACAAACAGCCAAATAAACTCACTTAAGATGAATAGAAAATCAAAGGGATTGGAAAGGAAATTGCCTTACCAAGGTTACTCCATCTGCATGGACAGGAAGGTCCAAGGGAGCTCCGAATACAGGGTTTTCCACATGCGCTGTAATTATATTGCCGCTGGGCTGTGGGCTACAGATGCTGACCTATGTGTGTGGCTCTCGAGATTCACGTTCAGATCCTCTTAAATAGGTTTTATTTCTCAACTCTTCTCAGACATCTGTCGAGCTGCCGATCTGAGCTAGATATTAATGCTGCAATGGAGACTCTACATGTAAATTTGAATTCTGCTTGCTATGTTAGTGAGGCTTGCCTGCAAAGTCTTTGCCTAGCTCTGGCTGTGAAAGTATTTCAATTTCCAGGCATAAAACTGAAGTCAGAACACTCAGCAAGCATCATGAATATTTTGTAGACATCTCACCTGAGCAGAGAGAAAGTGACTTAATATCTAATGCTTATAAATAGGTCACAGTAAGGGCTGTCCTTTGCCCAACCAGGAGAGACATTTTCATTCTAGCAGTCAACTTCTGTAGATAGTAACTGCTACAAGATTAACTATTTAGTGGTTTTTTGGCACTGAGAAAGACCAATGTTTAAGAGAGATATTTTGATAATTTAAAAAAATTGCATTATAATCGATTGAACCTTTAAAACTTTTTAAGAGCTCTTATAAACTAAGATTTCACTTGGAAAAGAAAGGGACAAAAGAAAAAAAAAGTCTTAAAATAGAGGCCAGAATTGCTAATAACCACCATATTGTACAATAATGCCCATATGCCCAGATATTGGGTAATGATTACTCTGGTTTGGATACAAACAAAACAGAGTAAGACAAAACTATTTCAAACCCATTTTTTAATTATTTTAGTATGTTATAAAAGTTGCATATGTTCCTTAGGGAACATTTATTATAGAAAATATAAAC